>NC_000016.10:59410985-59714015 GCF_000001405.40 Homo sapiens | reverse complement strand
AAAGATGCTCAACGTTACTCATAGAAAGAGAAGTGCATATTAACACTTTGCTAGGATAGCTATTCTAACTATCAGATCAGCACAATTCCAGAAGTTTGACAACACAGTCTGGCAAAGCTGTGGGAAAGCAGACTTTTCCTACATTGCTGATGGTAATGCAAAATGCTAAAACTCTTGAGGAAGGAAATTTGGCAATACCTAGAAAAAATTACATATTCATTTACTATTTGATGAAACAATTACAGTTCTAGGAATCTATCCCAAAGATACAGTGGCAACATATTAAAAAGACATATAAACAAGGCTATCAGTTGCAGCAAATGTATAAATAGGATACTGGCACACAGTGTATTATGCACCTGTAGAAAGAAATGAGGAATATGGCTGTAAACAACAATGGAGTATTCTTTAGGGTACATTGTTAAGTAAAAAGAGAATCAAGATGGAGGGAATGTGTTACTATGCTACCACACTAATTCATATATTATCTTTCATCTCAAGAAAAGGCAATGGGACAATAAACTGCAAAATAAAAGGGCTGCTTTTAAGCAAAGGGAGGGAGAAGGATCGAGAAAACAAAGATAGAATCCAGACGTTTATGTATCTACCTTGTTTAGTAGACTTGAATTTTGAACTATACACATTTTTTATGTAACTATTTTCCAAAAATTAAAAAGCAACTCATAAGAAATAAAAGTGGCATGGAATAATGATCTTATTATGTATTCAGTTGTCAGCACAACCACCTAGAAAGTTGTTCCAAAGAACTATAAAATGCTAATTTTCCTGCACATCCTAGTAGGATATAATCTTCTCAATATAAAGAACTGCAAGTAAATAGATAAATAAGAGAATCAAACAAACTTTTCAGTAATCGGATTTTTAGTGCTACTGTTGGTATTGTTAAACATGATAGAGCATAAAGAAAATGAGTAACGTTGTTAATTGGAATTTTCGCCATGATTAAATAGCAATATGATATAAGATGAAGGAGATTAAGTAAAAGCCTGAATTTTATTTGAAAGTATTAGTATGAGCTCATTATGCATTTTACCTTAAAATTATAAAATACAGTATCTTGGTGCATTGAAAAGTCCCAGAAAGAAGAACCAACTTAAAATACCAGAATGCACTCATGGTATCTAAACTGATCGCTAATTACCATTTCCTAAGAAGAAATCAACACTTAAAGAAATCCTGACTGCCAATCTCGGGCAGGGCCTATAAAATATGAGCCTGGAACATCTTGTCATATTTGAAAGCAGGCAAGCTATCAAAGGCAGACTAGGTCTAGTCTAGACCTAACTGCCAATTTTCAAGAAATACTAGGTTGAACCACTTAAAATCGCCATTTTGTAAATTAGGGCCAGTTGAATATTAGTAATTTCATATGATTAGGGCTAATACAAGGGAAAGAGGATCACTAAATAATGCTAGAGAAATATCGGCAGTAAGTGTATGGCTTGTGGAAAAATCTACAAGACTACAGCTTAATTTCTGTAACAAAAATTTGTGAGAACAACAGATTCAGGGAAGCCTATAAATGAAGAGAATAAAAGATGTAGAAGACATCGAATAAAGTCTAATAATATATAGACCTTATTAGGTAATGATTCAAATGGCTAAATCTTTAAAAATCAGGAAATGTGAGTTTCAATTGGATACTGATTATATTAAGGAATTAATCTTATTTGTAAATGTGATGATGTTATGACAATTTTTTTCTTAATCTTATCTCTAGAAATTCATATTAAAATATTTATAAGAAGATATTTGCTTCAAAATATTACGGGTGGGGGATACTGGGGTAGATAAGATACACATGAAGCAAGATAGGTGTGGGCTTATTAGGATTATTAGACTCTATTCTCTACTTTTGTATATATTCAAAATTATTCCTTATAAATTACTATTATTAAAAGTAAAAACAAAGGCAAGCTTGAGGATTTTTTTCTTCTTACAGAGAGGAAATCCTTATAAGGCTTCTTAGATTTTGTTGAGGAGGAACTTTTGGGAATCAAGAAAGAAAATTACAATTTGTTGATTGCTTATTACAGTCCAGAAATTTGTGCTAGGAGATTTGCATGTGTTAGCTCAAATTATGTATGACAATTAGGTTTGAGTAAAAAACAAGGTGGCTGCTTTCAATTTAAAATATGCCTCAATGTATATCTATTCCCGGTATACAAGATACAGGAGCTTCCATGCACGTGGAAAACACTGGGAAGCAAGAATGCAGCATTAACTTTCACAGGATCCAGAAGGTAGGCTGGGGTAGAAGGAGCACAAAATAAACCAAAACATTCCAGGTGGTGAGTATGAGGATTATGGGAAGGATTAGCTTTTCTACTTCTCATTCAGCTGTTGAATAGCCAGATTATTCTGACTATGCATATGATTGACAAGTTGCTAAGCAGATAATATTTACCCTCTTTCTTTCTCTCTGTCTATCCACACACGCACTCCCTGCTTAAAAATTTTAAACACTATAATAAATAAATAACCTTAATCTATTCTCCAAATGATATTCACGGGTAACATTTTTTCTTTTGCAAGTCTCGTTGAGAAATAATGATATGATTAGGGAGTATTGTGGCTCTGTGAGAATTTTGCTAGTTACTTATTTTTATCATTATAGATATCTCATCTGTATAATGGGAAAAATTTTTTTTTACTGTATTGTGATTGTGAGAATTAATGTCTATAATGCATGCAAGACTCCTGGCATACTAAAGTAGCATGTCTCAGATAACCTAGCAGAGTGTTTGTAATTAACAGAATTAATAGACTTCATATCAAAGCGTGGCTCTGTCATTTAGGAGCTGGGAGCTCTTAAGCAAGTTACTTTTACTCTCTGAGCCTCAGTTTCTCCGCCTAAAAATGGATCTCACAAACCTGTCTGAAAGGCTAATATGGAATAAATGAAGTGCTTATTCCGATGTCTGGCAAATAATGCTCAATGCTGGTGAGTCGTCCTTTATAGGCTTTTGATAATAATTTACTAATATTATTGTTATTATATTTTATACGGAATTTTATGTTCTGCTCTTTTTCAATTAATATCAGAGCAGTAACATTTACCATGCTATTAAGAATACTTCATAAACGTCCCCATTAATGGAAGAAGTACTATGTTGACAGGTGCGTATGGATGCTGGAAGATCATTTTCTCCTGGAGAGACATCTCCCATGCATTTTTATGAGCCAGATTTCCTGAGTAGTAGGTGGTGACCAGTTAATCATTTTGTCAAACTATTTTTTAAGGCTTCAAGTTGTCCAGCCATAGCCAAATGCCTATATTAATTTTGTGCCACTTAATTTTACTAAATGCAGTCTATCCTTCCTGTGTGTGGATGTGTACATGGAAAAGCTTTTGTCTCCTTGAACATTATTGTCCATCAAGAAAGGAGTTTCATTTTTGGCTATTTTTTTTTACAACAAGGGAAGATAAGCTCCTGAGTGACAGTTAAATTTGTTGACAGTATTAAATTGCTAATGCTAATGCATTTTACAATCTTTGGAATGGATTTAATATATTTGACTGCCACTCAAAGTTGTAATAAACAATACCACACTCTTAGTTGGAACTCATTCTGTCAGATCTGGAGGCTTTCAAAAATGCCTACCTATGTTGAGAGTTTACAAACACATTTTTATTTCTCTGTGGGCTGCCCCACAAACCAATGACATAAATACTTCAATTTGCATTTCTTGTCATAGGGTTTGGAACTCGCGTGGAGCCGTAATAAACACCTGGCAGGATATCTCCAAGGCTGGGAAATCATTCCCCACTTAAGGAGGTAAGGATGCTATTTCACATAAGGGAAACACATGTAAAACTTATTATCGCCTAACTTCATGTACTTGTCATAACTTCATGTGTATTTCCCAGGTTTGAATAGAGACAATAGGCACTCGCAGGCAATAAAATGACAACAAAAGCAAGAAAGCCTGTCTGCTGAATAACTGAAGAAGCCTAAGACTGAGATATGATTGAGTTAAGAAAAAAAATGTGTATATATATTTCTTTTTTCCTTTGAGTGTCTTCTTAGCTGTCAAGAGAGTGTTTGGGCCATCTTAGTTCAATAATAATAGTAATAATAATACCCTAATAACATTGTATTTAAAAATTCAAAAAGTATTTTATGTATGCTCTCATTTGATTTTCACCATGAACCTGGAAAGTAGGGAGGAAAAGTAGAAAATCCATAGGGAAAAAAAATGATACATCCAAACTTACACAGCATACTATATAATACACTGTCCAATATTATAGAAGACAGTCCAATATATGGGATCAAGATGAACTCAGATACTTTGCTTTACAGTTCTAATAGTTCATTATACTACAGTAACTTTCTGGGAATAAAAATGTAATTTCCTTATAATAATTTGGATGGAAACCTTTATAAAAAATAGGTAAGATGGAGATTTGCTTGGAGTAATGTAAATCTAAATCGACTTTAGTAAGCAAAATAACTACAGTTTGGGCATCCCTAATCTGAAAAGTCTGAAATTCCAAATGATCTAAAATCCAAAACTTTTTGAGTGCTGTCATGACACCACAGTGGAAAATTTTATACCTGAACTCATGTGAAGTTTCTGGATCAAATTGCAAGTGCAATTATTCAGCGTCCCCAAGGGATAAAAGGCCCTCCTAGCCCAGTTCAGCTGTGATATATCTTTTCCATGCACAGCATGATGGTGATGCCACACAATCACAGATTGGCCAAATGGATGGTTGAGGTAGTGACACCTTTGCCTCCTGATGATTTAATGCAGGGGTTCCCAACCCTCGGGCCCAGGACCAGTGCCAGTTCGCGGCCTGTTAGGAGCCCGGCGGCACACCAGGAGGTGAGCAGCAGGGAGAGCAAGGATTATCACCTGAGCTCCACCTCATGTCAGATCAGCGGAGGCATTAGATTCTCATAGGTGCCCGGACCCTATCGTGAACTGCACAGGTGAGGGATCTAGGTTGCGTGCTCCTTCTGAGGCTCTTAACTAATGCCTGATGATCTGAGGTGGAACAGTTTCATCCTGAAACCATCCCCACCCTTCACCGGCCATAGAAAAATTTGCCACCGGTCCCTGTGCCAAAAAGGTTGGAGACTGCTGGTTTAATGTACATAAACTTTGTTTCATGCACAAAATTATTTAAAATATTGTAAAAATTACCTTCAGCCTGTGTCTATAAGGTGTATGTAAAACATAAATGAAATTTGTGTTTAGACATGGATCCCATCCCCAAGATATCTCATTATGTTATGTGCAAATGTTCCAAAATTTTGAAAAAAAAATGAAATCTGAAACACTTCTGGTCTCAAGCATTTCCAATAAGGGATATTCAACCTATAGTTCCCAAAAAATTACAACAATAGTGGGGTTGGAGACAGTAAAGAAAATAAGACAAAGGTTCTGTCACCAGAGAACTTACTTTCTGAGAGAAGAAACAGAAATAGCTATCAATATCTGGCATTATATTGTGCAAGTATTATGAAGAAAAAGACACGAATCTGGGGATAAAGACTGATGAAACATGTCATGTTAAATAGGAGGAGAAAAACATTGAGCAGAAATAAGAATAGTATGAAAGAGTCAATGAATATTGAGGAACAAAACATTCTAAGAGGTAGCTACAGAGGTGACTGATAAGATGGAATCTTATTGTACCACTTATTTATTGAATATTTTTCCAGAAAAAGAAGCAAGCAAATAGCAAAGAAGAATCAAAATAAAACACTGGAGATTATAGATTTATTTTGAAATGCTAGCGACTGTCCTGAATACAACGTATTTTCTACTTAACTTACTATTCCGTTTTATTTGATCTGTAACTCATGAAAATGCTAAAACTTCTGGAAAGGTGATCTTTGATGCTGGGGAGGGTCACCAGGAAACGCCAGCTGCCAGCCTTCCATGGCCCTCACTGGGATTGCATTCATTACCACAGCACAGGACCCACTTCGTTCCTGTAGTCTCAACAATGCTTTTGTCAACTCAAAGAAAACAGTTCTGTGTACGTGCATGCCTTAATGGGAAATGGAGTGGCTGTTCATAGTCTTCAAATTCATATAACCAATGAATAAAATCAAAAGGACAATTTATTTATGCACAATGAAAAGTTTAATTGTCCGTTGAAGTGGAATGTCCTTAAACTCAAATATTACAATTCCTTTCTACAAAGTTCTTGACACTTAGTATGAGCTTAATTAAATTCTGATAGAGCCGGATGTTTCCTTGTGGGAGGATAGACTGTGTGATTAGGCACATGATAATCAGAAGGATGAATTGTGAACATGACTCAGAGCAAAGAGAGTTCTCCTTTGGAAAACTTGATAGATTGATGCTTCTATTTATACAATATCCTTGACAATTGCAATGTAGCTTTCTGACCATTGCAAATGCTTGTAGAACAAGAGTTCATTCTCCCTGCATCCTCGCTGGAACTTAACTAGATAGAACTGGACAATACAAACTAGCTTTTGTACTCACTCTCCTCCAGAACTTCCATTGCTGACCAAAGTGCCTTGGAGTATCCATACTCTTTCCTCAGATATGTTAATACATTCTGTGCAGACTCGGGTCCACCAGTGATGCAGCCTTTTAAAGGGGACCTAGCATATTTCTGCTTTAATGAATTCTGTGCTGTATAAGGCCCCCTCTTTCAGAGGACTCTGTTCTCTTCTCGTCAACCTAACAGAAAGTAGCGGAAACAAAAATAATACAGAATTTATTTGAGCCAAGGTAGAGGATTGTAGCCCAGGATTAGGCCCAAGTTGCCTAATGCTCTGGAGAACAAGAGAGAGGCTCACTTTTTTTTGTTTGTTTTTGTTTTGTTTTGTTTGTTTGTTTGTTTTTGAGATGGAGTCTCGCTCTGTCGTCCAGGCTGGAGTGCAGTGGTGCAATCTCGGCTCACTGCAACCTCTGCCTCCTGAGTTCAAGCGATTCTCCTGCCTCAGCCTCCCGAGTAGCTGGGACTACAGGCGCTTGCCACCAGGCCCGGCTAATTGAGGCTCACGTTTTTAAAGGATGAATCAGGAGAAGAGGGAAATTACAAAAGTTGTTTGTCAGGAATTCTCATTGGTTTACAGGAATACCATTGGTTGGTAATTACACATACATTGTTGGCCTATAGGGTGTATGTCATTTTATGGCTACTTGGAGTCAGTCTAGAGCCCCTATTGCAAATTGTCCACCTTTGTTGAAGTATTATTTTTTTTTAAATTCCATTATAGGAAGAAAGGTTAGAAAAAGTGAAAATTCTCAGAATACCAAAGAGGTTTAAGATACTGTACTCGGCAAAAAAATTAAAAAATTAAAATACCAGGCACAGTTGGTAGCTCCCCTTTGCCAGGAGAGGCAACAGTTTTGTCCTGCCAAACCCATGGTTGGATTCACCCCAAAAGCAGCAGCAGCGGATTTCCCACAAGGGAGTGCCCCAAACCATCCTGGGAAGGCACCAGTTGTGATTCCAAAGAAAGAAGCAATCAACGCCTGGAGGATCCAGCCAAAGCATTTATTAGGAGAACTTCCTTAGAGAGGTGCTGCAGCAATCCTCGCAATGGAAGAGAAAATGGGTGTTCTCCCTAGGTATGTCTCCAGAGAGGGGATCAGGATATGGAGTCTTTCTGAGGGTTTAAGGAACTTGTCTCAAGGCCAGGGCCAGTTTCTTTCGGTGTTTTGGGCAACAACCTAGATTGTTTTATTAGTGCCTAGGAATATTCAAGACCTAGTTTGGGTTCAATCCCGCTGGGGAAAACCTGCAGCTGACTGACTGACAGTTGTCAAAGCACTTGGTCATTTTCAGTCAGGACACAGGAAAACAACAACAACAACAACGGGGGAACAGGGAGATCTTACAACTTCAAATTTCTTAATATTTATTGAGCGAAAACTTATTGAATAACCTTTATTCAACATGCATGCTCTTCGGGTGCAAAGACGATGAAAACATAATCTTCTGTGATCTAATGCTGGCATACCTGTTCCACCTCGTCTGCCACCATTCCCCTAAAACCTTCAGCCATACTGAGCAATTACTGTGCAGACTCACCCAGCTGTTCAAAGCCTCAGATCTTTTGTAAACGTTTTCCTCTATGTGGAATGTCCTTCTTGCCACTTCTGCCTGGCAGACACCTTCTCTTCTTTCAAACCTCAAGAACTTCTGACTTACCCAACATTAATTACTTCTATTGTCTTAGCTCTGGTTATACTGTTATAATATCCATTACCCTATAGCATAATTATTTATGCATTTTTCTGACTCATCTTAGTTTCTAAATGACTGGAGGTCAAAGACAATATCGTCCTCTTTCTGACTCCTCAGCGTCTTATTCAGTGCCTAACATTCCATACGTGCTGAGCAAATGTTGGTGGAAAGAATTAACGAATATGTTATAACAAAATTAAATGCTGTAAAAGTTTATAAAAGAAAAGAATCACAGTAAGATGGGACTAGTGTTGTGCTGGCAAATATTTAATAGCTGGCTCCCCAGGAAATCGAAAGACCACCATTTGTAACATTGGCTGGTTTTCATTATGTAAATCTCTCGCTATGTCTCATTTCAACATCATGTCACTGAACATGGAGGTGGGAGGCAGTAACACATTATTGTACAATAATTCCACCATTCTCATACAATATACATAAGTAAAACCCAGAGCATAGATTACAGCAATGTAGTAAAATAATCAGGAAATAATGATTTTTATTATGTATTAATTTGGTTTCTAATATAAGTTAATTAACTGTAAATTCATATATAATTATTTTTAAAACAATGGCCATGTTTAACAATTGGTTTGCAAAATTCCTGAAAATTTAAAAAACTGGCTCTCTTGAATGCTGATATCAACTGGCTTCAGCCCACCATTAAATGGGACATTTTGAGGTGAGATAGGTAAAGTTGTAAGAAGATCTTACAGAAAAGGTAGCAGTTAATCTGTTCATTATGAAGCAATTATTTCAATAAGACGATTTGGATGGAGAATATATGATCCATGAGGACACTGATTTTTGTCGGTTTAATTCCATATTTTATCCCTGGTGCTAAGATGAGTGCTGGATGTGTACTTAGTGCTCATTAAATATTTGTTAAATGGATAACTTTTTAATAAAAACCACATTTCATAGGCCTTTTGAATGCAATGCTAAGTCAACTTTAAAAAGCCTCCATTGGTGAGGACTGGAGAAAAGGGCAATTAATTGAATCTCATTCACACAATTTTTACCCCCTGCTTGTATTTAAAAATGAAGAAGAATGGTGAGTGTCTTGCCCAACCAGAGACCTCAGTCATCTGAAAGTGTTGGTGAAGCAAACAGCATGGCAGTTGTTAGGCCAACAGGTCAGTTTGGGGTTCTTACTAGAGTGGGATCTCACCAATGACTTTGCACATCCTTTGAAGCTAATGCAATCAAAGCTCCTTTTGGAGCTTCCAGCAGGACCCTGAAACTGCATGGGGGTAAGTTTGAAAGGGCAGGGGGTAGAGAAGACTGTCCCATGCTCCAATTACAGCAGTAGAAATAGTCTATAATTTTATCCTAGGGACATTGACTTGTGCTGCACAGAGGCATCCTTTATAGGGCTTAAGCTTTAGGTTTTGTGGAAATGCTCCTGAATCTACTCTTTGCAGTAAATGCTCCCATGCCCTGAAAACACACAGAGAGCAAAAGGAATATTACTGAACCTAAGGATTAGCTCTGTGGGTGAAGGGCAAGAAGAGGGTCAAAAAGCATCAATTTAGAGCTGTATCCCTGTGTGTCCAGTACTCACCCTACCTGAATGAGATCAGAAAGCCATTCAGTGACAGCCACCCTTTTGAATAATTTAGTCCTGGGAAGGAGAGGACATTGCAAGATAGTTAAGAAGTGTGTTTTGCAGAAAGACTATCTATGCTGTGAATTACTTAATAGTAACAGTGCCTGTTTCCATGCCTGGAAAATGGGGATGCTAATACCCAGCTCATATTGTCTTGGGAGGACAAAATGTTATAATGTATGAAGGGGTAGAACACAATGCCTGTAATATAGAAAGTATTTAGTAAGTGGTATTTATGGCTGTGTATTTTTATCATTACATTACTATTATTTGTTCTGCATTAACAACAAGAAAAAGTTTGAACCGTAACATAAAGACTGTTTAAGGAATAGTCCTGAAATATAAGGTGAAATTCCAGGCCTGAAGCACATAGGTATGCCATGATGAACCACATTCCTTTGATTGAATTTTAATCGCTCTTATCAATAAGAGTTTTATATTCTGTGACAAAGTTGAAATTTCCATATATTTCCATATATTGACCTATGCCAGTTGCGGTAAGTGGGTTTATGGAGGGAGAAAGGAAAAACTCAGTTTTACAGCATGTTAAATTTGAGATGCTTAATAGGCTACATCAAATGAAGGCAGAAATTAAGAAGAGTTATTTCTTAAAATATGGATTTGGAAGACTTCAATGTACAAATAAAACAACTACAGCAAAGCCAGTCGATTCCTCCAAAACAGACATTATGGCAACCTCGTTCTTCTTGGATATTGATTGGTCCAAGTATGGCAATGTATTGTTTTCCTGGCTAATGAGGCATTTAAGGAAGTCTTCTTAGGAGGGTTTTCCACTCCCGACCTGAATATAATTGACCGTTGAGCAACACAGGGGTCATGGGCCCCAATTCCTGCACAGTCAAAAATCTGTGCATAACTTTTAACTCCCCCAAAACTTAACTACTGATAGCCTACTGTTGACCAGAAGTGGTAACATAAACAGTCAACTAACATGTAGTTTGTATGTTATATGTATTATATACTGTCATCTCACAATAAAGGAAGCTAGAGAAAAGAAAATGTTATTAAGAAAAGCATAAGGAAGAAAAAATATATTTAGTATTCATTAAGTGGAAGTGAATCCTTATGAAGGTTTTCATTCTTATCATCTTCATGTTGAGTATGCTGAGGAAGGAGAGGAAGAGGAGGGGTTGGTCTTGCTGTATCAGGGGGACAGAGGCAGAAAAAAATGTATGTATAAGTGGACTTGTACAGTTCAAACCTATGTTCAAGGGTCAATTATATATAGACAAAACCTTATTAGGTAAACACCTTTGCCTTTTAATCTTTTTTCCTCTCTTTCTAGCATGTAAGGGTGCCATGGCCATTCTACACTCATGAAGAATAAGGCCAGTGTTCTAAAGGAACACTCCCCAGGAAATCAAAAGACCACCATTTATAACATTGGCTGGTTTTCATTGTGTAAACATGGAGGCATGCAAAAACAAGAAAAGCTCATATCATTAAAAACATCTGTGAACAGCTGAACTAGTAACAGATTCCATCTGCTTTGACATTTCTCATTATGAAAGTGAAATAATCCACCATTTGTTTAAGCTACTCTAGGTTGAATTTTGTGTTACTTGAGGCCACTGTGTTTTCTAACTAATATAGGTAAGGCAACATGATGGAGAGCTATTTCTCCTCAGCATGTGTGGAGGGGAAAAAGGTAAAATTGATAGTAGAGTCAGTCTGCAGCCCAGAAGCAAAATACCTGGGACATCTGAGCACAACACAAACTTCTCTTTCTTCCCGGCTCAGGGCAAGTTTATCATGCAAGAGATGGTAGGCTGTGCAGTGCATATAGGGAGGCAGAGTATAAAAGAAACATAAATAAGCTGCCTGTGATAATGGAAGAATGTCATCGAAGATATTTGACATTCCCTGTACAGTTTGGGAAACTGATAAAATCATAATGGTAAACAAGACAAGCCATATTGCCAATCCATTGCTGCTTCTTGCATGAAGTCTGACACATATGTCTTATTGCTCAGCACAAGCAGCAGAAGGAATGAACAAAAAGAAAAGAGCAATTTCCCCACCGTAAATTGGAAAGTCTGCCAACCAGCTAAGTGATCTGCTATCAATCAGTGTTAAATTCTCCTTAGCTGCAGAAAATTCAAGGGCTAACTATTACTGAGAGATTTCACACAGTGACTAATGGTATATGACAAACACATTTAAAGTCTGCATAGACCAGCACCAGTTTAAAATGTAACATGAATAATAAATAATTTTAAAGAAATCTTAACATGCAAAATAAGATATAATCTTTTCTGACATAAATTACACAGAGAAGATTATAGTTCTAGAAAGGCATTTGCAAACTGACCAAAACAAAGTCAAAAGTGTAATTCATTCAGAAGGCGACTATATTTGATGATTTTGCATATAAACAGATTTTGAAAATGTTAGGCAAATAAGCTATAAAACAGCAGTCACTAAGGTGTAACCAGAAAAAATAAAATCTCAGGTCTCTGATCAGTTATAAATGGCCATCAGTGAGAATTCTAGACAGACACAAACACAGCAGGACAGGCTTTCTTTCTCCCAAGAAATACAGTCCTTTTTGAGAATAATAAGAAAATATTCTCCTTTTTAAAAACCAAGCTGAGGTGCAAACCTGGAAGAAAAAAAAATGTATAGATGAAAGACGAAGACTCGAGGATTTAAACATAAAATTCTCTTAAGTTTATGGGACTTTGTATTTGGGAAACAAAAAATAATAGTACTGAATTTGGATGAGACTCTATTCTCAAACTTATTGTCTTACTTTCCTGTAGATTTTGTGTAAATAACATGACTAACCTCCTAAGACAGTTGTGATGGGCAAATGAGGCATAATGTTGAGAACTCATTACAAATGGTAAAGGATCATGTACACATTTACTATGATTGTTTCTTCTATTATTTGGTTTAAATCTAGGATTAAATTAGTATTTGGGTGTCAGAGGAAAAATCATTGTAATGGATAAGAAGCAGGGTGTTTTTTACTTGTCTTGAACACACACACACACACACACACACACCCAGCTTTTATAAAGTATTCAGATAATAAAAACAAGCCTGCTGGAATGAAGCTCCTGAAGTTTTGACAACTTAGAAATTTATATAAACAGGCAATAAGTAAAAGTAATTTCTAATCATGAAAACTAAGTTTTGTTAATTCATTTTCCAAATAGTAATACATTTATTCTTCAATTAAGTCATATTTTTCACAGGTGTGCCGAGATGAACTATTTTTTTCTTGATTGTATTTTAATTGTTATTATCAACGAAGTACATTTTTTCACAAAATTGAAATTTCCATGTATTAGTTTTGCAAATTAGTATACAACTCCTTCATTATGAAGCAGTAGGAAGCAGTATACAATACCACTGAGATTATATTTGCTATTTAAATGAAATTGATGACCCCTAGTAATTGTGAAAGCATAAATAATAATAAAAACAAATCTACTGATGGAGAAATTTAAGAATAATATGTAACATTTTTAAACTTTTTTTGCCTTTATCTGGCCTTCACAACAGGCCCCTGACACAGGATGAGCTGTCACTCATATATCCTTTTGAAAGATGAGAAAATCAAGTACTGAAATGTTCTTGTAAATCTCCCAGCAAATTCATAACATTGGTGAGATAAGAATTTAAGTCCTTCCACACTCTTCTGAGCTATACTTTGTTCATACCAATCCTAGTCATGTTCCAGACAACCACCCTCATTTGCTATCTGAAAAAATAGCATTAAATGCATAGAAACTATAATTTTTGAGTGTTTTGTTACATTAAGTTTTGCCTTTTAAAAATATTCAAAGAAACTGAAACTGTACTGGTAAAAGCATTACCACTGTGGTCTTAGTCTATGCTATTGTATTATAGCAGCCCAAGCTGGCCAATACAGGGTTAAGTACAATCCTTTAGTGAGCAAGGGAGTGGAGGAGGGCCAGGTACCAGTAAAACAGTGGTAGTGCCTGTCATGGGGAAATGTGACATGCCAAAGTTATCTAGATTAACATATTAGCTCATTTAAGTCCCATGAAAATCCTGAGAACATCATATCATTTGCCATCTATTACCAACAGGAAGCAGGCTCTGAAAGAGTAAAGAATCAGTCAAGACTATCTTCTCCCAACCCACAGTCTATGTAGAGTTCTGCAGGTGCCTCTGTCATTATGAGGTTTGAAGCTATCTCTGAAAACTAAATAGTGACGGGGTCAGCATATTTTCAAGTATATGATCAGGTACTGAATGTTTAACTCAGGTTTTAATGTTGAAAGATAGAATGCAGATAACAGTAGTTTGGTGAATAGATATTGCCTACAATGTTTAGAAAAATAGCACTCAATTGATAGGGGAGAAATCTGCAAGAACAAAACATGTCCAAATGGGAAAGAGAGAATACAGTAAAAGTTTTAACACTAGAGAGTCAAACCTTTGAACTTAAACCATGGGAGAGAACCACTGGAAAAGAGCATTCACACACATACATGGGTATGTGTGTATGAGTATGTATACAGATATAGCTATAGTTGTGTATATATTGTGTGTATATATGTATAATTAATTTTTAGGCTAATGTGTAGTGGAATATTTCTAAGGCCAGATAATAATGCTATTTTAGATGGATAGATAGATATAAAATATCCCAAAGAAATAAAAAGTGCTATCATAAGAAAGGTTTTCAAATATTAAATACCTTGCTGTATAACTGATAACTCCCATTTATTCTGTCTACTATCAATATGACCAAGCATTATAGTTAATACTTTATATACATAATTACGTTTCATCTTTAGAATGATCCTATATGTCATGAATTAATATCACTACTTTCAAAAATAAGGAAACTGAGACAGAGAAACTTATTAACCTGCCACAGTTCGCACAACTCCAAACCAAGTCTGTTTAATCCGAAGTCTGACCTGTTCTATTGCCCTGTGCTGCAAGGCAGGTCTTGGCTTTGCAGTGGTTCCTTTTTATGATTTTCTGTTGCTTCTTTCATATGTGTGTTTTATTTTATTTATGCTGTATTACAAGAATAATATGATCTTATGCAACATACCATCCCATGTACTCTTGGATTTAAAGAAAACAAAAATTCCTCAAAGTGCAACATTTGCTTGATTTAGTTGATCACTATCAAATCAGATAATATGAGAAAGTAGTAAACTGTTACACCACATTAAGTATTCCATGTTGGAAATTAACAGATGGCAGCTACTGTAACTATCTCTTCAGCAGCTCTGTCTGCAGCAGTTGCAAGTGTTATACCTGCATATTTATGTTAAAGAACAGGACAGGAGCAGTGTATTGGTTTGCTGTAATTGTTCCATGATTCAGCAACTGAATCACTTAATGACTCCCACACATATACCAAGTCATATAATTTTAGGAAGGGTCTAGTGTGTGAACCATCTGTTACAATAAATCCACAGTGCCTTGGGAGATTACTGGGTAATGCTTGTCGTGTCTCTTCTTGAGTAACTAGGCCATGCTTTTACTGAAGGTGAAAAGCACAGGGAGGTTGTTGGAATTAAGCCTCCTGAGGATTGTACACAGTTCATTTCAACTCGTTGTGGCATATTAACAACAACAACAAAAAGAATCTTGCTTCTGACCAACAAATGGTGTTAAGTCTTTTCAATCTATCAGGAATTTGAAATCCCCTTTAGAAAAATATTCATAATTTAACATATATAGCTTCTGGCTGGAGGCCTAGAACCACAAGGTGGGAATTGTGCCAGATTCTACACTGAGTGTAGTCACTTCTAGGAGTAAAATAATATAACTTCCTTGATACATATTTATAAAAGATGTACAAATATGACCTAAGGACCTAAAAGAAACCTCGAAAGGCCAATGTAAAAAATTAGCCAATCATGTATTAATTTCCTATGATGTGCAAGACACAGTGTTAGGCACTGATGTTGTAGAAATCAGCATTCATGGTCCACAGCATCAATGACTCCTGATCTACAATATGATACATAACAATGGCAAAGTATCACAAGAGCTATGAAAGAGCTAAATGCAGGTTATTACTGAAATGTAAAAGCAAACAAACTACCCAGACTATAGCTGGAAATAGAGGGAGGAGGATAGCTATCATAAATATTAAATCTAGGAGATGATACAACTGGAACTGAGTCTTGAAGGATCTGTGTTTTTGAAGTTCACATGTGACATGCATTTTCTTTCAGGCAATGCATAGTTCATCTACCCTTCAGATATTCACCGAAGACTTGACCTGTGAATATCTGTGGTCAAAAGCCCAGCTGAAGTCTTGTGCATTGACAGTGGAAATGCAAAATGAAACAAGCTCCTGTGGAGGAGAATCTGGTGATATCTAGCAAAATAAAATGTGTATTTACTCTTTGATCTAGAAATCCCATTTCCAGGAATTTACTGGAAGATACTTAGAAAAAATATTTAAAAGATATGCACAAGACCATTTACTTCAGCACTATTTGTGATAGCAAAAGACTGAGGTAAAACAAATTTTCTTCAATAGAGGACACTTTCAATAAAATACTGCACAACTACACATCACAGTATCCACAGTATCATGAAACAGGATAAAATAATTCAGAATAAATCTATAAATTACTGTAAAATGATATCCGGAAAATACAGTAAAATGAAAAGAGGCAAGGAGCCGTAAGGAGGGAAATATAATGATACTATTTCTTTCTTGTGTGTGTGGGGGGGGGGGGGGTGTGTGTGTGCAGTTGAGCAATCTTGACTCACTGCAACCTCTGGCTCCCAGACTCCAGTGATTCTCATGCTTCAGCCTCCAGAGGAGCTGGGATTACAGGCGTGTGCCACCATGCCCAGCTAATTTTTTTTTATTTTTTTAGTAGAGACAGGGTTTCCCCATGTTGGCCAGGCTGGTCTTGAACTCCTGGCCTCAGGTGATCCACCCGCCTCAGCTTCCCAACGTGCTGGAATTACCAACATGAGCCACCACACACAGCCAGTGATACCATATCTTGATAAGAATGTATACACACACACACACACACACACACCCACACACACACACTCTGTCTCTCTATCTCATCTCTTCTTTTCAATGGAAGCATAAATCACATAATGAAATACAGATTACTTATGAGATCAGGGATGAACTAGACTAGACTACTTTGAATATACCTTGTTTTATAGATCTGACTGTGAAAACATAAATATTTTATGGAATCATAAAACAATTTCATAACGAAACACTCCTTTAAAAATCAGAAGTAAAATTCAACAAATGAACAGATAGCCATATATCTTATTTTCAGCAATAGTGAGAAAGTCTCCCAGGGGTCAATAAAACAAGACCTTTACAACATGTATGTAGTAGAATATACCTTAAGGCAAAAACACTACAAAACAAAACCTCATTTTTTGTTTGTTTGTTTTAGTAATCATATTATAAGTAGGAGTGTAGCTATTGCCATATTAACATTATTGTGTATATTGCTATTATAGGATCAAGAAAATGGGTATTTATGCTGATATCATCGAAAACCAGGTTTCCAAGTTGGGAGAAGGAAGATGTAAGATCAATGTAGTTAAAGAACAATCCCGTACTCCTGAAATAGAATAGAAAATATCAGTATGAATTTGTGATGTATTTTATCCTAAAAAAAAATAAATAAAACAGACATTCTACCTATGCCTGCTGAAAAGACCTGGAAACACTGACCAACCCCATAGCCAGAAGCATCTCTTAAGGCCTAGAGTTTGGTGCATAAATACCATTCATTCCCTTCTATTAGGAGCCAGTCTTCCTTAAAGAAGCAGCTCACTCCAGTTCTAGAGTACGAAATACACAAAATGGGCCAGGCACAGCAGCTCATGCATATTATCCTAGCCTGTTGCGGGGCCAAGGCAGGCAGATTACTTGAGGTCAGGAGTTCAAGACCAGCCTGGCCAACATGGCGAAACCCCGCCTCTACTAAAAATACAAAAATTAGGTAGGGGTGGTGGTAGATGCCTGTAATCCCAGCTACTTGGGAGGCTGAGGCAGTAGAATCACTTGAACCCAGGAGATGGAGGTTGCAGTGAGCCCAGATTGCACCTCTGCATTGCAGCCTGGGCAACAGAGAGAGACTCCATCTCAAAAAAAAAAAAAAAAAAATACACAAAATGATGGAGATCAGAGCACAGACACTTTCAAAGAAAATAGGTACATGTGGAGTCAAATTGCATATGGTACTACTAGCAGAAGTTAGGGTAATTTAAGCATTGAGTCAGTACATTCAATAGCCTGAAACACATAGGTGTTTCAATTCACAGATTCATGATAATTCTGAAAAACAAAACTCATTTATCAGTTTGAAGGATTACAGAGAAACAAACAACACTATTTTAAAAACTGATCAGTGGAAAAATTCAACTAGTGGTTTTTCCTTAAAAAAGCAAAAGTCAACAGTTTACATATACTGACGCATTATTTATATATCCCTGACGCATTAGGGATAAACCAATAAAACAATAAAACCTAACTATTCACACCGTGAATTTTCTTTTCTTTTCTTTTTTTTTTTTGTTTTGAGATGGAGTGTTGCTCTTTTTGCCCAGGCTGGAGTGCAGTGGCCCAATCTCGGCTCACTGCAACCTCCACCTCCTGGGTACAAACGATTCTCCTGCCTCAGCCTCCCCAGTAGCTGGGATTACAGGTGCACGCCACCATGCCCGGCTAATTTTTGTATTTTTAGTAGAGATGGGTTTTCGCCATGTTGGCCAAGCTGGCCTCGAACACCTGACCTCAAGTGACTCACCCGGCTTGGCTTCCCAAAGTGCTGGGATTAAAGGCACGAGCCACTACGCCCAGCCCACTCCAAGAATGTTTAAGTTCCAAGACTATGTAGGCTACCATCTACAAAGCTACACATAAGAACTACATTGTGCTGCCTCTCATATATCTCCAGTGATTTGCAAGTAAAGAGGTCTCTATCAACCTTATGATTTGGTGAGGGTGGATATACCAGGAACTTCTTCAGATGTTTATAAAAGTGTTTTCAAGGACATGAACTTTTAAAAATATTGCTCAATAATGTATGCATAAAGAACACAGGTGCAATTTCCTCTAGGAGCATATGGTAAGATAACCAAAACAATAATATCTTGGTCCTGATGACAGATGACATTGTTTACTATGAATAACAGTCGTAACACTAATAGTAAAAGTTGTAGTAGTCTTTCAAAATGAGGGCTGCCTAAGAAATTGAATTCTTATTTGTGCACCATGATTCTTGGCAGGAAAAACAAATTTGTTGTTATAATATATAACCTCTTTCTAAAAACTTTTAAGTAGTATACAGCAAAAAAAAAAATGTATATAGAAAGTATAGAAATAGAATAAGAAAATCAATCAGTGTTGTTCACTAAAAAGGAACAACATACCAACTATCCAGATAACAGTAGTTATAGCTGTTAAGCTGTAGTTACAACTATAACCTCACGTTCTGAGCTCCCTGATAGGCAAGGGAAAAGGGAGGATATGGATGTTCATACTGGTGGTCTTTATCAGAGTAGAGAAAACTCTGCTTCCTTAAG
This sequence comes from Homo sapiens, assembly GCF_000001405.40. Lineage (NCBI taxonomy): Eukaryota > Metazoa > Chordata > Mammalia > Primates > Hominidae > Homo > Homo sapiens. The sequence continues at coordinate 59,694,648 of NC_000016.10, read as the reverse complement.
GCTTTTTCTACAGTTGAAGTCTTTTTTTTTTTTTTTTTTCTGAGACAGTCTCACTCTGTCGCCCAAGCTGGAGTGCAGTGGCACAATCTCAGATCTGGGCTCACTGCCACCTCCGTCCCCCCAGGGTTCTAGCAATTCTCCTGCCTCAGTCTCCCAAGTAGCTGGGACTACAGGCACCCGCCACCATGCCTGGCTAATTTTTGTATTTTTAATAGAGACAGGGTTTCACCATGTTGACCAGGCTGGTCTCGAACTCCTGACCTTGTGATCCGCCTGCTTCAGCCTCCCAAAATGCTGGGATTACAGGTGTGAATTCTAAAGCACATTTCTTTAGCAGGTCTTCAGAAGGGACACCAAGATGTAATGAAGACTATTCCTCCCAAAATGTCTACATTCCTGTAACTGTTTCTTAATTTTAACTTAAATAATGCTCAAGGGCTTAACACACACACCAAAAATGAAAAAAGCAAAGAAAGTGAAAGCAATTCTCTCCATCATCCAAAGAAAAATAGAAAACACAGTTTTACATCCACTAAACGCTATAGCTTCTTTTGGCTTCCTTTTCCTTATATAGTTTTCCTTTCTTGCCTTTTTTAGTACTTGATTTTGACTTCTAATCTGTGCAAACGGCTTATGATATCATATCTTGCATGCTTGCTATATGTTGCCTGAAAACCTCTTTGGAAATAGACAGGGTTAAAAGGCAAACAAACAGGGACATTCCTACTCTTCTATTGAAGAGAGGAGCTTGCCCTTTGCTTTTGAATGACCGAGGCAAAATTTTATTTAAGTCTCCAGGCTGAGGGGAAAGAAATCAAAAAATTAATGAAATGAAAATGAAACCCCCAAAAAATGCCTGGAGCCTTAGAAAGTACAGAGAACAAAGGGACAGCAAGAGCCTTGAATAGTAATGAGATTCCAACTACACTGATATCAGGAACTATTCTTTCCTGTCCATTTAACCAAGGCCTCAAGTCACCTCCCTTGCCCTGTTGAAAGAAACCCAATCTATTAAGTCTTCCTCAGAACTGAAACATTCAGTGACATTGAAAATTGTTATTAGCTATTTAAATTCGGCTTTTTGTGTTATTGGGGCTCTTATTTGTGCAACAGAGTGAGACTCCATCTCAAAAAAAAAAAAAAGAAAGGAAAAAGAAGTACACAAAACAATGGAGATCACGTCTATTTTGAATGAATATATAAGTATACAACCACAAATGCTAAATCGAAAAATACTTCTATTCTAAAATGTGAGAAGTATATTGCTAAATTAATTCATATACTTTTGGCCCAATTTGAAGAACAGCGTCCTTTTACAATAATAATCATTATTTCTCTTATTAATTACTTTATCTACAACAATTAGCCCAGCATTCAGAAAGAGCACAAAAAGGGATAAATATGTTTTATATGTTATGCTAATTTATTTCTAAAAATAAATCTGTAGGAGAAATATTATTTCCATTTTACAGATAAGGGTACACTGAGGCTTGGAAGAGCTGTGTTTTTTGAGCGGGGTCACACAGCTAGTACTTACAGAGCTGGGCTAAGGGAATGGAAATTTGCTGTGTGACCACAAAGGCAGAGCTTTAACCAATAGGTTCTCTCAGCTGTCAGAAACACAATGGATTTTAGAAAGAGATACAGTATAAATTGAATATTCAGATTTCTTAAATATTGAATGAGATACCACTAAAGCAGGCACAGGAAGGACAGCTCCAACAATATTAATGGTTATAATAACAATGCTCATTAGTTATATGATTAAGTTAACATGTCCAGCTATTGGCTGAGCACAGTGACTCACACCTGTAATCCCAGCATTTTGGGAAGCTGAGCTAGAAGGATCACTTTAGTCCAGGAGGTGAAATCTGACCTGGGCAACATAGCGATATTCGTCTCTACCAACAGTAATTTTAAAAAATTAGCCGGACATGGTAGCACATACCTTCAGTCCCAGCTACTCAGGAGGCTGAGGCAGGAGGATCATTTGAGCCCAGGAGTTCAAGGTTATGGTGAACTATGATTGCACCACTGCACTTCATTCTGAGCAATAGAGCAAGACCCTGTCTCTAATATGTGTGTGTGTGTATACATGCACACAAACATATATTAATATATGTGTAACTATTAAATATAATTACCATTTATAAATATAAACTTAAGGACAGAGCAGTGAGGTAGAGGCACGAGATTGTAGAGTTAGCAAGTGGCAAGATCAAAATTATTAACACACCCTTAACTAAAACGTCATTCAGGAAAGTTAGTGTCTTTGGTTCAACTCTATCCTGCTTTGGAACTGGGTGTGCACTCTTGATAATTGCTCAGTGTCAATGATCTTCCATTTCTTTGTCTGTCACATGATTTGTATAACAATAACTTCCTTACCCTTCTCACAGTGTTGCTTTAATGATGAAATCTATCACAATTACAGTCTCATAAAAAAAATTAGAACAGAAGTATACACGTGGACAGCACAGTGAGGTAAGAAGCACTGCAGACCTGAGGCAGGAAGATGGTAAGTGTTGAAGTTCTGTTTGCTTACACTTAGGCTCTGTATTACCAACCTCTTTGGAGATCAAAGTTACCAACATTAATCAAAGGTCTAAAATGGTATCTGAACTCAAGTAGCCAAGGGAATTAGATGCAGTGACTTTAAGATTCTTTGTATATTTGAGATATAATAGCTAAGAAAAGACAAATAAACCTCCCTTATTAACCACAGTGCACATTTCCTGTGTGCACCTCCATGCACTGTTCCTGTACGTCCGTCTATCTATTGAGTTCTTAATTCACTAGATCTTGTGGGCAAAAAAGAGACACAGTTCCTGCCTTCTTAGGGCTTAGAATCTATAGGGACATGAGATAATCACACTACAAAATAGGAAATTATTAACCAGAAAAGAGCCTCAAAAGAAGAGAGATACATGGAATTGTGTGTAATTATGAAAGGAAGATGTTGCTTATTCAGGGAGGTCAAGGTAGACTTCCCTGAGGAAGTGCTTTTGAAGACAGATAGGAAAGTTGGCTGGGAATGAAGTACATGAAACAGATATATCCTATGCAGAGGGAGGCGTGTACTTGAAGGGGAGTTAGTGCTTCCAGACCAGGTATTTTGAGGAAGGTGACCCATCTGAAATGTGCAAGAAGGCTTGTGTGACTGGAGCAGAGAACAGGGTGAGTTGTCTCAGGGAGGGCACTGAATGCATAGGGACCACATCTGATCATATTGTAAGTTGTACTAATGATTTCCATTTTGGTCCTAAGAGCAATGGAGGTCATGGGTTGGTTTGAAACAGGCAAGTGACATGTTCAGATTTGGATTTTGGAATGATTACTTTGGCTGCGTTGTGGAAAATACCCTGAAACAGGGCAGGAATTGAAGCAGCAAGAACAAGTAGGAGGTAGCTGCAGAAAGACAGGAGCTCAAGCTTGGGCATGACCTCTTTAAGAAAACAGGCCCTGTTCTGTGCCTGCATTCTCAGTGATCTGCATGAGCTCAAAACATTAAAATAATACTAAAAACAATAACTGTGACACAATATGATAAATGTAGTAATGGAGGCATGCATTTGATATGGCAGCAGGAGGACTGTGGTGAGAACTGTCAGCCCTTACATATGGCATGACAGTTAAGGATTCAGCTTCTGAGTCACATGGGTGGACCTGTGTTTTAATCCTGGCACTGCCCCTATAACTGTGTTAGCTTTGGTTAAATTCTTGATTTTTCTGAGTAGCCTCATTTTATACATGATAAAATCAAGAGTCTACTTCATAGGGTTGTTATGGAGATCAGGTGATGTGACCAAATCAAAGTGCTTAGCCAAGTGCCTGAGGAGTATTGAGCAGTCACTGAATGATCATTTGATCATTTTTGTTTTATGCTGTTTTAATAATTACTATTATCTATAAGCAAAAATAATTGATCTTGATGAATGAGGAAGAATTCAGCAAATGAACAATAAGAATCATATGTCTACAAAAAGATCAGAATGCAACATGTACGTGACTATTATTTAGCATTGAAGAATGAATATATCATTATATAGTGTCTGATGAAATCAAGAAACTATAATAAATTAGATGGAATTTGACAACTCTCAAGACTCAAAACAACTTCACAGCTTTTAAAATTAATAAGAGAACACAGAAAGGTAAGCAACTGGCTAAAAACCAAAGCTGAGTCCAAGTTCAACACCTGCTGCTGTGAATCAGCCACTGTAATCTGCTGCTGCTTCCTCATCCATCTGTCTCTGCCTTTGGCCCCAAGGGGCTTTTAGCAGCGATGATCGCCTTTAACGTTTTCAGAGTTCTTCCTCCACACTATTTTGATTCTGTCCTTTGCCACCAGGTAGAGAGACTCAGAACAGAAATCCTCCATAGAAAGAATAAATTTCAAGAGATCTCTTGTACAGCAAGGTGACTATAGTTAATGGTGTTATGTTGTATTCTTGAAAAATATAGAGTGGATATCATGTGCCCTTACTACAAAAATGGTATGAGGTAATGCATTTGTTAATTACTAGATTAAACCATCCCACAATGTATATGTACTTCAGAACATCATGTTGTACATGATAAAAACATACAATGTTATCTGGTAATTTAAAAACATAGAAATTGTTTAAAAAAAATCCTCACAGAGTGCTTTGCATTTTGACCTTCAGTGCTTCAGCTCAACTGCCTTTTCGGGCAAACACTATTTACTACTATTTATTTATTTATGGAAATTGTGTGAAGGTACCAACCAAACACATGCTAGCTGTCTAAATATAGCTCTCTGTACCTATGGAGCTACCTACCAATGTCCCCACGAATGACACAAGCAAGGACTGAGGGCAAGGATGCTGGGGGCCTTAATATTAAACAGAGAGCAAGAAAATTCCAGCTCAGCCCCAGCTTTGGAGCTCCAGGTCTAATTAGGCAACATTTCCAGTTTGGTTGAGGGGTGAGAGGAGAGGGGGGACTTACTCCACAATGCTACATATCTAGCACTCTAATTCTAAAAAGAAATAGTGATTTATAATAAAATATACAGGTCAGTGATAGGTCATATTTGGTGACAATTATAGTTGTTACATCATTAGTTTATAATTCTGTAACTGCACTCTCAACCAAAGAAATCAAATCAATAGAGAGTAAAAAACAAAAATAAAAAGAATTTGTGTCATTTCCCAAGGACTTAAATAGTTATTTATTGCAGACATAAGAACTCAAAGTTGGAATTGGTTTCCTAATTCTCCCCACAGTTGCTGTAGTTAAGACTGTTGCTTTTTATTTGGAACTGTGACTTTACTTGTAGTTTTGTCTTCTTTTTTTCCCATAAAGACTTCATAAAAGCTTAAGGGGCTAATATTTTTTGGTGTGTATGTATGTGTTAAATATTAATGGCACTTCGTTCTGAGAGTCAGCCTTCCCTATAGAGTCTTTAAAAGCTGAATTATACCAAAAGTTATGACATTCCACAAGAGGAGTAGCAATCTTTTCCATAATGAAGTCATTTGTTCATCAGTCTTAAAATATTCAGCAGCTCACTTATGCCTCCCTTTCCTCCTCCCTCCCTCTGAGACAAGAGAGCATTAGAAATGCAAAGGACACACCAGCCATTACTTAGCACCCATGTGAGTTGGAGCTCCCCCTTCCCTTTGATACCTGACTATTGAACATAATTATGTAAAGAAAAAAAAAAATGGGCCTTTTCTCAGAGCATAAACACACATTTCCATGCTCAGTAGCAATTGGTGAGAGGAGCTCTTTTAATATAGGTAGAAGCTGGATGTGTGTTGGGCGCCGTTTTGGTTGGCTGTGCCGGGGCGTGGTGTTAGGAGGATGTGTTAGGGGTGCCCACACATTAAGCTCTTGAGTACTTAGGATGACTTTTTCTCTGCCCTAAAGAAGTCAACATCAGCAAGTATTAAAATAAACTCCTGTCAATTTGTAGATATTTGCTGAGAGTCTCCCATGTTCTGAGGACTGTACTCTGTGCTAGAAAAATTACTATGAATAAAGCATTGATATTCTCAGGAATCTACCATTCATGGAGGAGATGGCCACATGCAAAGTTTTAGGGTGATAAAAGGACATCAACTAACTTACATACAAAAAGGAAATAATTTGCCCTATAAAACTGGGTATAACTTAGTACCACCATTTTTCTAAGAGATAGTTTAATAATTTTTTCCTCTTGTCTTTGCCTCCCAATTCCCCACTTCCTACTTTGCCCCTTAGAAATGCAAATATAGCCTTTTACCTCCCATTCACCAGTCACTCCAGGGCAAGTTCATCTAACTATGTGCTTACAAGTTCCAGAAAGAAACTCTCACCCACCAGGAGGTTGCCTTGAGAGATAACAGACCATTTCTATGAGACTCCCTCTCACCAGGAGACTGCCTCAAGAGATACAAGACTCTCTCCCACCTGGGGAGTTTTCTGCCTAGTCCTGCCCAGGAAGACACCAGCAGTCACCAGCTTAACTGCCCAGTAGATAAAGCACCAGAGCTAGCATGTAGACCACCCTCCTTGCTCTCTTCCTCCCCTGCATTTTAAAAAGTGCCTTCTTTCTTATCCAAAAGCAAAGCAGTACCCTTAAAGCAGGAAGCCTGTATTACTTCTCCTAAACTAGCTTTAGAGTAATTCACTTTCTTTATACCAGACCTTGCTCTTGTTAACTGCAAGCAGCAAGCAACTAACCTGCATTTCACTTTGCATGGGCACTCCAAGGTCTATCTTTAGAAAATAATCATTCTCAATAGCTCTGGCCAAAACCCTGGGTTGAGAGTGAGGAGGGGCTAGGGCAAGGGCACTTATTAGTCAGCCTTAGGACATCTCCCCAGCCTTGAAGCAAACACTTCTAATCCAGGGATTGACATTCCCACCAGAAGAACATGAAATAAGGATGTGGTCATTTTCCAAAGTAAAATTAGGGTGCTGATACGGTTTTGCTCTATGTCCTCTCCCAAATCTCATGTTGAATTGTAATCCCCAGTGTTGGGGGAGGGACCTGGTAGGAGGCAACTGGATAATGGGGGTGGATTTCCCCCTTGCTGTTCTTGTGATAGTGAGTGAGTTCTCACGAGATCTAGTGTTTAAAAGTGTATAGCACTTCCTCCTTTGCCCTCTTCCTCCTGCTCCACCATGTGAAAAAGGTGTTTGCTTCATCTTTACCTTCCACCCTGATTTTAAGTTTCCTGAGGCCTCCCCAACCATGCTTCCTATACAGCCTGTAATACTGTAAGTCAATTAATATTTTTCATAAATTACCCAGTCTCAGGTAGTTCTTTACAGTAGTGTGAGAATGAACTAATACAGAAAATTGGTACCAGAGAAGTGGGGCATTGCTGTAAAGATAACTGAAAATGTGGAAGCAACTTTGGAACTGGGTAACAGGCAGAGGTTGGACCAGTTTGGAGGGCTCAGAAGAAGGCAGAAAGATGAAGGAAAGTTTGGAACTTCCTAGAGACTTGTTGAATAGTGGTGACTAAATGCCAGCAGTGATATGGACAGTGAAGTCCAGGCTGAGGTGGTCTCAGATGGAGATGAGGAACTTTTTGGGAACTGAAGTAAAAGTCAATCGTGCTATGCTTTATCAAACCAACTGGCAGCATTTTGCCCCTGCTCTAGAGATCTGTGGAACTTTTGAGCTTGAGAGAGATGATTTAGGGTATCTGGCAGAAGAAATTTCTATGGGGCAAAACATTGAAGATGTGGTCTGGCTGCTTTGTGTATACTCATATGTGTATACTCATATTTGTGAACTCATATGTGTTCACAAAGAGATGATCTGAAATTAGAACTTATATTTAAAAGGAAAACAGAGCATAAATATTTGGAAAATTTGCAGCCTGGCCATATGGTATAAAAGAAAAACCCATTTTCTGAGGAGGAATTCGAGGCTGCAGAAATTTGCATAAGAGGATCTGAATGTTAACAGCCAAGACAATGGGGAAAATGCCTCCAGGGCACTTCAGAGACCATCGTGGCAGCCCCTTCCATCACAGGCCTGGAGGCCCAGGAGGCAAAAATGGTTTCCTGGGCCAGGCCCAAGGCCCCACTGCTCTGTGAAGCCTTGGGACATGGTGCCCTGTGTCCCAGCCACACCAGCTCCATGGCTAAAAGGGGCCAAGTTACAGCTTGGGCCATTGTTTCAGAGGGTGTAAGCCCCAAGCCTTGGCAGCTTCCATGTGATGTTGGGCCTGTGACTACACAGATGGCAAGAGCTGAGGCTTGGGAGCCTCAGCTTAGATTTCAGAGGATGTATGGAAATGCCTGGATGTCCAGGCAGAAGTCTGCTACAGGGGCAGAGCTCTAATGGAGAATCTCTACCTACCAGGGCAGTTGCAGAGGGGAAATGTGGGGTCAGAGACCCCACACAGAGTCTCCACTGGAGCACTGCCTAGTGGAGCTGTTAAAAGAGGGCCACCATCTTCCATACCCAGTATGGTAGATCCACAGGCAGCTTGCACTGTGCAGCTGAATAAGCCATAGGCACCCAATGCCAGCCCGTGAAAGTAGCCATGAGGGCTGTAACCTACAGAGTGACAGGGCCAGAGCTGCCCAAGACCTTAGGAGCCCACCCTTTACATCATTGTGGCCTGGATGTGAGACATGGAGTCAAAGGAGATTATTTTGGAGCTTTAAAATTTAATGATTGCCCTGCTGGGTTTCAGACTTGCATGGAGCCACTAGCCCCTTGTTTAGGCCAATTTCTCCATTTTGGAATGAGTGCATTTACCCAATGCCTGTACCCCCATCATATCTTGGAAGTAACTAACTTGTTTTTTATTTTACAGGTTCATAGGCAGAAAGGACTTGCCTTGTCTCAGATGAGACTTTGGAAGTGGAATTTTGAGTTAATGTTTGAACGAGTTAAGCCTTTGGGGGACTTTTGGGAAAGCATAATTTGTTTTAAAATGTGAGAAGGTCATGAGATTTGGAAGGGGCCATGGGAGCACTCATATCATTTATGGTTTGGCTCTGTGTCCCCGCCCAAATCTCATGTTGAATTGTAATCCCCAACGCTGAGGGAGGGACCTGTGGAAGACGATTTGATCATTGGCCAGATTTTCTCCTTGCTGTTCTTGTGATAGTGAGTGAGTTCTCATGAAATCTGGTTGTTTAAAAGTGTGTAGCACTTCCCACTTCACACTCTCTCCTCCTGGCCATGTGAAGATGTGCTTGCTTCCCCTTCACCTTCCGCCATGATTGTAAGCTTCCTGAGGCCTCCCCAGCCATGATTCCTGTGCAGCCTGTAGAACCATAAGCCAATTAAATCTCTTTTCTTTATTAATTACCCAGTCTCAGGTAGTGATTTGTAGCAATGTGAGAACAGACTAATCCAGGTGCTATAAGCAAAAAAAGAAGAAAAACACTGGCTAGTCCTAAACAACAATGCACCCTTTAATAATATCTAATCCATTCAATTTTGCCCTGAAACCAAGATTTCTTTAAAGTAAGGCAGACAAGCAGGAACATGCAATACCCACAATTCAGTCATACATTTGTACAACACTTTATATTTTGCAAAGAACATGCAGTATTAAGACCAATGCTTAGAAGACTGACATTCATATTTAACAGAGTGAGTCATATACTCAGGACCACAGAGTTTAGCATTCCAAAATTTCAACCCCCACTTTATTACTGTGAGCCTGGTCCAAAGAGAAAAAAGTAAAAGTTAAAATTTCCTTGACTTTTCTGGGTCTCAGCTTCTTCATCTATGAAGTGGAATAATACAATGACATCTAAATTAATTTCCTGGAGTTAGATAATTGACAAGGGTTTAGTCAATGCTTCATACAGACAGGGTAAATTTCTCAGTAAAATGTTGTACAATCTAATAGACACATAGACACACCCTGCTCTGTTGTACTATGTGCATGCCTGTCTTTATGAAACGTACCTTATTAGTAATCTTTGAATTCTTGGTACTGATTTTGTCCTCATGTATTCCTTATCTAATGAATGAGGAATTGACTATATATGCAAATAAGTGAATGAAAAGAACTTGCTCTGACACAATGTTCTACCACCTATTTTCTGTATTAAATGATGTTTAGTAAAATTGGAGATATGAATAATGAAGTTTCTCTCAAAGGAGAAACACCAGCCCAGAAAAATATATAGATGGCAAGCAGGTATTGAAATACATGGATGAGCAAGTGCTTTTACTTCAACTATATCTACAGTGCACCACACCTGGGTGCCTAAGGACTCACAACGACATGTTCTGATTTGAGAAGTCTTTATATTAGAGTTGCCACCTAAAATGCCACCCAGGAAATAGGTATAAAAGATTCCTGGCACTGTACCATGTGGGCCCTGATACAAACATGAATCAAAATTCCTGGGTCGATTGCCTGTTATTGAACTATTGTTAGACTTCATTATCTCACACTTTAGAAGAGCAATTCTCTTGTAATCTAAGGAAGTCTGTATGGGTGGTAGGAAGTTCGTTCACGAATTCGGGCACCAGACTGCCTCAGCTCATATCTTGACTCCAATATGTGAACTTGAGCAAATTGCTTAAGCTCTACATGTCTCATGAAGAATAGTACCTAATTTATAGATTTATTGTAAGAATCAAATGAGCTAATGGATATTAAATACAGGAAAAATACCATCCACAAAGTAAGCATTCAATGAAGTTTACTTAACAGAAGTAGAATTATGATTTCTACCTGTCTTTGATGTGTCATCTTAAGTCTAGTCTTATGAAATGAGAAGTGACCCAACATTTACTCATTGCACACTGCTGGCCAAGGCACTGGACACTAATTCCTGGGTTATTCATATACTATTCCCAATAGCCCTGTGAAAGTTGGGTTAAGATTGTAAACTGGCTGGATCAATTTTATTCCATCATCCTTATACTATCCTTACTGTATACAGAAAGATGGAAAGTTAAATTCTCAATTTCCTAGAGTCCCTTACTACTTCGGATATCTTCTAAAGTCCTTCAAAACAATACATCTGCATGATTTTTCTTTTTTTTTTTTTTTTTTTTTTCTGAGATGGATTCTCACTCTGTCACCCAGGCTGGAGTGCAGTGGCTCAATCTCAGCTCACTGAAAGCTCTGCCTCCCGGGTTCACGCCATTCTGCCTCAGCCTCCCGAGTAGCTGGGACTACAGGCACCTGCCACCACACCCGGCTAATTTTTTTGTACTTTTTTTTTTTTTTTTTAGTAGAGACGGGGTTTCACCGTGTTAGCCAGGATGGTCTCGATCTCCTGACCTCGTGATCTGCCGGCCTCGGCCTCCCAAAGTGCTGAGATTACAGGTGTGAGCCACTGCACCTGGCCATCTGCATGATATTTAAGAGGAAGCAAAAGCTTCATATCTCCTGTTTCTGCTGGCAGGTATATTTAAAAGCTGTGTAATGCTTCTGTTACCAATAGCATAGTGGGTGAGCAAGGGTGGAATAAATCATCCATTCAGTAACATGAGTGTGAGCATACAGGGCACAGGAGATGTATTTTGCTTGAGGGGATTGTGGCTAAAGCAGTGTAGTACTGAATCCAACAGACAGGCAGTATGGTGAGCAAAATTCTAAATTGGTCCTACAATCTCCACCCCGAGCAACCACTTGAGCCTGGAAGAGGACCCAGAGCCTTGGATGAGACACTCTGATTGCATACATATGAGACCTTGAGAAGAGGCCCCAGCTGTGATTACCCAGAACTCCTACCCCATGGAAGTCATGAGATAATTATTATGTTACTTTTTAATTCACTACAGGTGTGGTAATTTGCTAGGCAACAGTAGGAAACTAATACAGATAGCAATTTCCAAATTACCACTTTCTTTATTACTGCAGCGGTAGCTAATATGTAGTGTTTTTCAGGCAGTCATCATTCCTGGAAGCTCAACATGAAGTCTTTTCCTTCAGCTCTTCTAAAGGTTTTGTGAGCATTTTATTTTCTAAATTAAATCTTTATATTTCCACTCTGCTCAAACTGAGACTGACAGGTGTCATATTCCTATTTTACAGATAAACTCTCTGACTCTTGGAATTTTCCAGTAAGTTGCAGAAAGTTATATGAGAAATGAGATCATGTATTTATTCAGCTTAGAAGTCTGATTAGCTTTGAAGCATACACCTCAAATCACAAGGCTTTCTTTGGCTTCCCTGGACTACAAGTTATTTTCCCAAATGCTACTATCAAATTCATTCGACACCTAAACATACTGGCATTTAAACTTTATGTCCAGGTTTTCTAGATATATATTTACTCATTAGCTGATATATCCAGGGCAAGTTTCTTATTAGTCAGTCCTATAACCACACAATAAGAGAAGCAATATCATTGAGATGTTCAACTTGGCTCATCTTTTCTGCCTCTCTAATCTCCTATCCAGTGTCAGAGGTATGGGAGATCTAAAAATAATTTTGATATCATATGTAAAATTCTAAACCAATAGGGGAGCAGGGAGAGCCCTGCCTGGGCATGCACCCTACATGATTGGTACCTACTATCCACATATCCACATATTGTGCTCATTCACCTCACTTTCAGAAAACAAGAATTTTGTGCCTTCTGTTGAACCTGCAAAACTTGTTCCTGCCTTATGGTATGTGTTCTTACTGTTTTATCTTTGTGAAATCTTTTCCCTAATGATTATCATTAGGACAACTTTTAGTTATTCAGTATCATCTAATGTCACCTTTTCAGAGAGGTCTTCATTGACCACACAGATTAAAATATCTGTGAAATTTCATCTATTAAATATATCAAATAAATATAATAATATTGTCCTATTTTGTATAGAAATTATTAAAATCAAAGTTTTTATGTGTTTAATTCCTCTCTCCCAAAAACCAATTTCCATGGGAACAGAGACATTAATCTTTTTCACCATTGCATTCCCAGTACCTACAAGAGTGCCTGTCATAAAAGTGAGTCTGTTTGACAAACCTGAGAAAAACAAGCATTGGGGAAAGGATTCCCTATTTAATAAATGGTGCTGGGAAAACTGGCTACCCATATGTAGAAAGCTGAAACTGGATCCCTTCCTTACACCTTATACAAAAATCAATTCAAGATGGATTAAAGACTTAAACGTTAGACCTAAAACCATAAAAACCCTAGAAGAAAACCTAGACAATACCATTCAGGACATAGGCATGGGCAAGGACTTCATGTCTAAAACACCAAAAGCAATGGCAATAAAAGTGAAAATTGACAAATGGGATCTAATTAAACTAAAGAGCTTCTGCACAGCAAAAGAAACTACCATCAGAGTGAACAGGCAACCTACAAAATGGGAGAAAATTTTCGCAACCAACTCATCTGACAAAGGGCTAATATCCAGAATCTACAATGAACTCAAACAAATTTACAACAAAAAAAACAAACAACCCCATCAAAAAGTGGTGAAGGATATGAACAGACACTTCTCAAAAGAAGACATTTATGCAGCCAAAAAACACATGAAAAAATGCTCATCATCACTGGCCATCAGAGAAATGCAAATCAAAACCACAATGAGATACCATCTCACACCAGTTAGAATGGCAATCATTAAAAAGTCAGGAAACAACAGGTGCTAGAGAGGATGCGGAGAAATAGGAACACTTTTACACTGTTGGTGGGACTGTAAACTAGTTCAACCCTTGTGGAAGTCAGTGTGGCGATTCCTCAGGGATCTAGAACTAGAAATACCATTTGACCCAGCCATCCCATTACTGGGTATATACCCAAAGGACTATAAATCATGCTGCTATAAAGACACATGCACACATATGTTTATTGTGGCATTATTCACAATAGCAAAGACTTGGAACCAACCCAAATGTCCAACAATGATAGACTGGATTAAGAAAATGTGGCACATATACACCATGGAATACTATGCAGCCATAAAAAATGATGAGTTCATGTCCTTTGTAGGGACATGGATGAAATTGGAAATCATCATTCTCAGTAAACTATCGCAAGGACAAAAAACCAAACACCGCATATTCTCACTCATAGGTGGGAATTGAACAACGAGAACACATGGACACAGGAAGGGGAACATCACACTCTGGGGACTGTTGTGGGGTGGGGGGAGGGGGGACGGATAGCAATGGGAGATATATCTAATGCTAGATGACAAGTTAGTGGGTGCAGCGCACCAGCATGGCACATATATACATATGTAACTAACTTGCACATTGTGCACATGTACCCTAAAACTTAAAGTGTAATAATAAAAAAAAGTGTAATAATAGAAAAAAAAAACTGAGTCTGAATTGATATTTTAAAGACAACAGATAAAGGAAGAATTGAAGAGAGGAGGAAAAAGAAAGGAAGAAAGGAAAGTACTGGCCAGCTGGTAGATGGCAGGAAGATCTGAGTTTGTGAGACAGTCAAAACAGATTGATATAATTGTGCTAAATTAAGTGTGGTGGTTAGTGGAGGTACTGAATTATTTGCTATATGACAAGTATTCACCACATTGTAAAAGATGGCCTTGGCTTGATCAACTGTTACCAGGTTAAAATTGGTGATTAAATGATTCTGAGAGTGAAAGCCTCTATAAACGTTGTGCCCTAGGTATCTCACTTGCCTCACTCTAGTCCCACTCCTGAAGAAAGGCTTGAGCCATCCCACTCCCTAGAAATAATCAACATAGATTATAGCAAGGCAAGAGCAAATGGTGTTAATGTTAAGTAACATTTAATATCTCTTTCTCAACATTATAAAAACATTTATTGCTTGGTTATATGTAATATTTCTATTAAAAGAACTTCCAAATTAAGAAAGTAAAAGCTGGATAACCATCAATCATTGTGGATTTCAAAAGGGATATAGGTAACCTTAAATGCTAGGAAAGCAGGTCATGTTCATGGAGCTGGACTGTGGTTGATGGAGACAAAAGAGGTGGGAATCTTCCTTGTTCCAACTCCTAAAACAACGTAAGAAGATAAATTGTAACAGAAGAGGGCTTAGAAAACAAAGAAGGGTTTTTGAAATCATTGCTTAATATTATTTCAAGTAGACAAAGAAAAGGGCATAGTTAAGAAAAACTTTCTGGCTGATGTCTATTGAAAATTTCTGATTCTTTTTTACAGCCATATTAAAAGAATGTATGTATTAATTTAGGGACAGCAAGAAGAAGAGGATTTCCCTAATTTTTAGCCTTTTAGCCATGAATGTCCTTAACAGTAAGGATTTAATTTATGTTCAACCCTGGTCAAAACTGCAAAAAAAAAAAAAAAAAAAAAAAAGGCTGGAAATGGGAATCAAGCTAAATATTTAGAAGAGTGAAAACTAGAAAGAAGCAGAAAAGGAGGAAAGTCTGGAATAGAAGTAAGGAATGGTAGTGGCTATTGGGGGGCATGGAAGGGCCTGTGTCATCTAATGGGTAGATGATCACACAGTGTACTGGTGAGTTGGTACAACTTAAAGTTCTAAACAAGAGGGATGAGATCAGAGTGACACCAGCAAGAGTGGAGATTTTACACAGCCTCAGGGTCCATATTGAGTTCTGTGGTCTCATCTATAAACTTATGTTTAGGATCAAGTAATCTTCACTTGTAAAGTAAGTATAAGAGCTTTGCACACCACATTTGACAGAAGAGTCTTACTAGAGTCATAATTTAAGTGAAGTAAGCGGTATATCTCTTTCTAGAATCAAATTGCCTACTCCTTGCCCAAGAATAGGTAAGTTCAGGTGATTATGTCAGCTGGAGAGGGTGAGGGCATTATATATCTAGAAAGTCATCATTATCTAGTGAGTCATACAGATAGAAGTATCTACTTCTTTCACTGATTTATTTATCCTTCAATAAAGGTTTATGCAGCAGAGACTTCTGTTTCTGGCCATAATTAAACTGGCACCAAACTAAACCTCTCAATTAAACAACACTAAAGTTGGATAAAATTTATGAGACAATAGTTCTTAAGTAGGAAATGCAAGCATGAAATCTCAAACAGAAGGAAAACTCTTGAGGCAATCACCACAATCCCTCAGCTCTCTAACAAGGAACAATTTCCTAAAGCAGCACAGAAACAATTCCAAGAAGGATATAGCAGTACTTCTGAGATTAGATTTGAGGGGAACTCATGGGTAACAAATGAAAATCTGATGAAAAGGGAATGGGAAAGGAGGAACTTTTGCAGAGAGGAAGGCCGAGGAGTCTACAAGGAGGTCTCACACAAGTCCCTGGCAGAGGACGGAGATGCAAATAGGCAGGTCAAGATCACAAGGCTTGCCCAGTCTCAGCTGCTGTGAGGTTAATAGGAGATCAAAAATACTGGAGAATAATCAGTCACACAGAAGAGCCAGCTGGAAGACTTTATAATTCAGGCCCTGTCAGACTAAAGAGATCTTCTTCATACCCTATTAAAATACCTGCCACTCAGCAGAGATCACAGAAAGCTCATGACTAGACCTTTCTGTCATGCCCTAGAATAAAACCTATCCTAGACTTATTTTTACAAAGCATAAAACAAGTCCTAGAACAATCTTCTAGGAAATTGAGCCTCAACAGTATTAAATCATTTGAGAAACACTGTACACAAATTCCCACCTACAAAGTATGAAGCCAAGCCTATATAAGTTTAAGATGATCAGACAGTAATTGAACTGACTGCTAAAAAAAGAGTCAACATTCTCCAGGGGAAAAATACAAAAATCTAAACTTTCCAAAATGTAAAAAAATAAAAATATAAATAAATGAAAAACAAAAATCAAAAATCTGTGATTCATGATAAAGAAAAAAGTCAACAGAAATTGAACCTGATGGTCCATGGGGGAATTAGAAGACAGAATATAAAGCATTATTATAAATATATTCAAGAATTAAAGGAAAATGTGGTCTTAACAAACAGAGGGCAACTCATCAGAAAAGAAAAAGAAAATTATAGTGAAAAGAAGGAAATGGAAATTTGGAAAACCTAAAGCAAAATAACTAAAATGAAAAATTCACTGCAGGAACTTAAGATCAGATTGGGAAATGAAGAAAAAAGTCAGTAATTCTAAGGACAAATTAATAGAACTTATCCAATTTGGAAAATAGCAGTAAAAATTTGGGAGAAAAATTAACAGAGCCTCAGAGAACTGTGAGATAATATGAATCATCACCTGAAATAAAAGAAGAAAAAAACTGGAGTAGAAAATAAATGCAGAAATAATGTTCGAAGTCTTCAACATGTTGATGAAAAATTAAACAAACAAATAAAAAAAAAGCCTGACTTACTGGTTCAAGAATCTTTAGCAAAATCCAAGCAGGATAAAGAGAGAACCACACCTAAGCATATAATAGTGAAACTCCTGAAAAGCAAAGATACAGGGAAATTCTTCAAGGCAGCAAGAACCACTAACCTCCTACCGCACCACAAAAATCTCAGATATATCATGTGCATAGGAACAGGAATGGAATGAATACAGACTTTCTTATCAGAAACAATTGATAAAAGAAGATAATGAAATAATATCTTTGTAGTGATAAAAATAATGTTTTAAACTTTCGACACAATTCTATATCTAAAAAATATTTTTTTTCAAACATTAGGGTGAAATACAGATAATTTAAGATAAATAAAAGTATAGATACTTTGTCACCAATAGATATGCACTGTAAGAAATGTTAAAGGATGTCTTCAGGCAAAAGATAAATGATACCCAAGCAAAAGAGAAAGATGGAAAATTGAATCTACAGGAAGGAATAAGGTGCACTAGAAATCATTTTTAAAATATATAAATATTTTTAAAAATATTTGTCAACTTATAATTTACTTAAAATACAACCAACTATTTAAAGCAAAAATATAATTTATAATATTTAGAAGTGAAGGGTGTGATGACAATTGCACGAAGGACTGGAGGTCACACATACAACTACAGAGTGGTAGCATCATTACTTTGCAGTGTGGAGTATATGAGTGAGAAGCAAGAAACAATAAGTGGTAAGGAAAGTAGGAAATGAGCAGGGCTGGGGGTGGGGAAAGAGAGTGAGTTAGGAAGTGAGAAAGGGCCAGATGTGAGGCATATAAAAATTAACGTATGGACTTTTTTTTTTTTTTTTTTTTTTTGAGATGGATTCTGGCTTTGTTGCCCAGGCTAGAGTGCAGTGGCGCGATCTCGGCTCAGTGCAGACTCCATTTCCTGGGGTCAAGCAATTCTCCTGTTCTAGCCTCCCGAGTGGCTGGGACTACAGGTGCCCACCATTAAGCCTGGCTAATTTTTGTATTTTTAATAGAGATGGGATTTCACCATATTGGCCAGGCTGGTCTTGAGCTCCTCACCTCAAATGATGCACCCAACTCAGCCTCCCAAAGTGTTGGGATTACAGGAATCAGCCACCGTGCCCGGCTAAAGTATGGGTTTAACTATGTTTTTTTTTTTTTTTTTTTTTTTTTTGGAGACGGAGTCTTGCTCTGTCACCCAGGCTGGAGTGCTGGAGTGCAGTGATGCGATCTCAGCTCACTGCAACCTCCGCCTCCCGGGTTTAAGCGATTCTCTTGCCTCAACCTCCCGAGTGGCTGGGATTACAGACGCACGTCACCATGCCCAGCTAATTATTTTCGTATTTTTGGTAGAGACGGGATTTCACCATGTTGGCCAGGATGGGCTCCATCTCTTGACTTCGTGATCCGCCCACCTCAGCCTCCCAAAATGCTGGGATTACAGGTGTGAACCATCGCACCCGGCCGGTTTTAGCCTTTAAACAGACCTTTAAAATGTTCATCAATTGGCGAATAAACAAACTGTGATATATCTGAACAATGAAATGCTATTTAGAAATAAGAGTAAAAAAGTGATGATACATTTAGTAATGTGGATAATCCTCAGAACATGTTATTCTAAAATTCTGTTGATAACAACAGTTTGGTCACTGCAAAACTACTGGTACAGAAATTAGACTTTTGATTGCCAGAGCTGGAGACGGGAAGAAGATTGTCAACAAAGATTCCTGAGAGAAAGTTTTGTGATGACAGAACTATTTTACAACTTGATTAATACATGCCTGTATACAAGTGTCCGAAGTCATAGAACCACATATCTCTAGTGCATTTTGCTGTATGTGAATAAAATCTCAGTGAATCTGATATAAAATTAAATTAATGATTTCTGTTCAACAAAGAACACTATGGACAAAGCTAAGAGACAAAAGACAGATTTGGAAGTGATACTTGAAATATCTAAAACCAACAAAGGATGATTATCTAGGATATACAAAGAACTTGAGCGAGTCAACATCAATGGAACAATGGGCAAATGATAGAAAAAGTAAATTTACAGATATAAAAACCCAAGAGACTAAAATGTGTATGTAGAGATGCTCAAATGTATTAGTCATCAAATAAATATAAATTTAAATAAGAATGCAATAACATTTGTAAAAAAACTTATTCAATCAGCAAAAATTTAAAAGTAGGATAATGTCAAGAATTACTATGCAGCCATAAAAAATGATGAGTTCATGTCCTTTGTAGGGACATGGATGAAGCTGGAAACCATCATTCGCAGCAAACTATTGCAAGGACAAAAAACCAAACGCCGCATGTTCTCACTCATAGGTGGGAACTGAACAATGAGAACACATGGACACAGGAAGGGGAACATCACACACCGGGGACTGTTGTGGGGTGGGGGGAGGGGGGAGGGATAGCATTAGGAGATATACCTAATGCTAAATGACGAGTTAATGGGTGCAGCATACCAACATGGCACATGTATACATATGTAACAAATCTGCACGTTCTGCACATGTACCTTAAAACTTAAAGTATAATAATAATAAAATAAAATAAAAAATAAATACAAAATAAAAAAATAAAAAATAAAAATAAAACCAACCAGGAGAAAATTCCCTCAAAATATTGTTTTATATAATTTTCTGTCTATTACCATAATAGCAAAATAAAAACAGTAAACAGGCTGTAAAGAAAAAAAAAAGAATTGGCAAAGATGTGGGGCTATGTTACTCCTCATACCCTATTGAAGGATGTAAGGATTAATAGAGCTATTCTGAAGCTAATATAACAATACCTGATCAAATCAAGTATAGTGAAACTCCTTGGCTCAACGATTACATTCGTAACTATTTATCTCAAGAAAGTCTTACACATATTCTAAAACAGCAGTCTCCAGCCTTTTGGCACCAGGCACTGGTTTTGTGGAAGACAAATTTTCCATACACCAGGTTGTGGAGGGATGGTTTCAGGATGTCTCAAGTGCATTATATGTATTGTACACTTTATTTCTATTATTATTACCCTGTAATATATAATGAAATAATTATACAACTCAACATAATGTAGAATTGGTGAGCTTGTTTTCCTGTAACTAGATGGTCCCATCTGGAGGTGATGAGAGATAGTGACAGATCATCAGGCATTAGTCTCATAAGGAGTGGGCAAACTAGATCCCTCGCATGCGCAGTTCATAATAGGGTTCATGCTCCTATTAGACTCTAATGCCACTGCTGATCTGACAGGAGGCGGAGCTCAGACAGTAATGGGAGGACTTGGCTGACTTGCCCACTGCTCATCTCCTGCCGTGCAGCCCAGTTTCTAACAGGCCACAGACCAGTATTGGTTTGTGGCCCTGGGGTGGGAACCACTGTTCTAAAAACAGCACTATGAGGTTGTTTATAGTGTTATGTGTGGAATAGTTATAATTTGAAGGCAATTGTAAGGGTCTGTTACTGAAGAGTGAAGATGTATGGTGTGTATGGCATGAAGCAATGTACAATTCATGGTGTGAATGGAGTGAAGAGGTAAATTGTGGTAGATACGTGTCACAGGACACCACGCTGCAATAAGTAATGGACTATATGTACATACAGAAATATAGATATATCTTAAAAACAACACAGTGAAGAAAATAAGAAAAAAAGAGGTACAGTTTCATTCATGTAAATTAAAAATACATATGCATACAGGACAATAATACACATTTTTCAAGAACTTACCTCAAAAACGATATACTATTAAAGAACAGCAAAATGGCTGCCAATTGAAGGAGGGAGGAATAGGCCTACTAGGGAATACATAGAAAGAAGAGAAGAGACTTTCACAAACTAATGGTGATAACACGCCTTAAACTGAAACTATGCTTAACTCAAACTTCTTTACCTAAAGTGAAGAAGTAAAATAAATACGTTTGAATTTCTAAGAAAAAAAAATAAAAGAAAATAAAGAGATTAAAAGGATACAGGGTACATAGAGTAAGCATATGAAGATAGATGTTACCATTTTAACTCCAAATTAAAAGAGATATCGGGATAAGGAGTTTTATGAGAGATAAAGGAGGAGATTGTATAATGATGAAAGAAACAATTTACTGGGAAGACATATCAATCAAAAACACGTATGCTTATAATAACTAAGCACCCAGTGCATGAAGCACAGACTGATAGAACTAGAGTGAGAAATAGGCAAATATACAAGAATAGCCAGGGATTTTAGCATCCCACTCTCAGTAAGGGAAGAACAGGTAGAAAAAAAATTAGTAAAAATATATATAATCTAAATCACAGTATAAATTACCCTTACCTCACTGACCAAATACAGATGGGATGTTCAACAAATTAGACCATGTTGGGAAATAGGCAAAAAAATTCTCAATACATTTCAAGAAATTAAAATCTTTATATTTTCATTTATTTATTTTAAATTTATTTTAATTGATATTAAAATCTTACAAAGTATATACTATGAATACAACAGAATTGAATTTGAAATCAGTAACAATAAGGTATTCAGACAACTCTCAAATATTTGGAAATTAAAAAACATACATCTAAATAACCCAGAATCCAAGAAGAAATTACTAAAGAAATTAGAAAATATTTTGAATTGAATGCTAATGAAAAAACAACACTAAAACCTTTGTAATTCAGTTTAAGTCATTGCAAGAGGGAATTTTATAAATCTAAGTGGATATTTAAGAAAAAGTGAAAGGCTGAAATCAAGCACTATATGTTGCTCTCCAATTTAAGAAGCTTAAAGAGCAAACAAAACACAAGAAATGTTCAAGATAAGAGCAGAAATCAACAGAATAGAAAAGAAGCAAGCAAAAGAGAAAATCAATTTGGAAACAATTGCTAATCAGCATCATGGTGACTATCAAACATTCAAGGAAGAAATAAGACCAATACACAAACACTTTTAGGAAATCCAGAACACTTCCACGCTTGTTGAGCAAGGCCAATGTAATCATGCTATTAAAATCTGATTCCAAAGAAAAAATTCCAAGAAACTTACAATCAATATCTCTCATAAAAATAGATGCAAAAATCTTTAAGAGTATGTTAGAGAATTAAATCTAGGGGTACATAAAAAGGAACACATATTATGACCAGGCAGGGTTTATCCCATACATCCAAGCTTATTTTAGTATTCAAAAATCAATTATTATAAGCCACCACACTAATAGAATAGTTACATGATCATATTAATAGAAAAAGAATAGCATTTGATGAAGTCTAACACCATTCCTTAAAAAATAAATAAAACCTCTTGGTAAACTGTAAGTAGAATAAAATTTTATTAACTTGTTAAAGAGCATCTATAAAAAAATCCTACAGACTACATTATACGTAATGGTTGAAGACCAAATGATTTCTCTCTAAAATTGGAAACAAGAAAAGTATGTTCACTCTTAAAATTTGTATTCAGTATTGTATTATCCATTGCAATAATACAAAAAAGGAATGACATGCATAAAGATTGGAAAAAAGAAAGCAAAACATAATTGTCTGAATAGTATATCATAAGGAACACACCAAAAAATTGCTAGACTTAGTAAATGAAACTACAAGGAGATGTCTAGAAGTTCATGGAAAAATGAAATTAAAAGATAAAAATGAAAATAATAAACTTTATTTTTAACATAAGCTCCATCAAGGCCAAGACACTTGTATAAGCGATGATACCAGCCATTTAGTTCATCCCTAAAGAACTGAAGATCCTGGAAATTTAACCATGTCAAAAGAGTCTTTTTTACGTTATCAACTGAAGAAAAATGGGTGCTCTTTAAAGATTTTTTTAAGATTAAGAAGAAAAAGAAGTCAGAAGGAGCCAAATCAAGACTGTAAGGTGTATGTCTAATGATTTCTCATAGAAACTCCCACAAAATGACCCTTATTTGATGAGAGAAGTGAACAGGAACATTGTTGCAGTGCAGAAGAATGCGCCAGTGAAGCTTTCCTGGGCGCTTTTCTGCTAAAGCTTTGGGTAACTTTCTCAAAACACTCTCTTAATAAGCAGATTTTATCATTCTCTGGCCCTCCTGAAAGTCAACAAGCAAAATGCCTTGAGCATCCCCCCAAATGGTTGCCATTACCTTTGATCTGAACCTGTCTGCTTTTGGTTTGACTGAGCCACTTCCACTTTTTGGAAGCCATTGCTTTGATTGTGCTTTGTCTTCAAGATTGTGCTGGTAAAGCTGTGTTTCATCTGCTGTTACAAATCTTCGAAGAAATGAAACTGTCTTCGCAAAAATTATAACTGAGGAAATTATGACAGTGAAAGAGACCTGACCTCACCACCTCCATCTTGCTTCTAACCTCCAAATTGCCCTTGTTCATTCATAGGAATAGATCTAACTAACTTTAGGAAGAACTTAGTTTATAGTTTAACATTGAAACAAAGATGACAACAGCCCTTTCCCAAAACAAAACCCCTTCTTGCCTGGGGCCTAGACCACCTTTGCAGGACTAACAAATTAGTTACAAGATTAGGAATTATGACTTAGGAGTCACTGTTGTAAAATTTTATGTCAATGGTTGAGATATTTTTCAGCCCCTGTGTTCCAATGCACCAGCTGACACCACCCAGATAGACTGATAAACTGGCTCATCTGATCTGTGGCCCCAACCCAGGAACTGACTCAGTGCAAGAGGACAGCTTCGACTCCCTACAATTTCATCTTCGGCCTGACCAATCAGTACTCCTCACTTTCCAAATCCCTACTCACTAAATTATCCTTAAAAACGCCAATCTGTGAATTTTTGGGGAGACTGATCTGAGTAATAATAAAAATCCAGTCTCCTGTACAGCCAGCTCTGGGAGAATTAAACTCTCTATTTCAATGTCCCTGTCTTGATCAATCAGCTCTGTCTAGGCAACGGGCAAGAAGAAGCCATTGCATGGTTTCAGAAATGCTTCAGGATCTTGTCCTCGCTTATATATAATTTCAGTTGAAACCTCTGCTCTTCAGCTACTGTGGTCACAACAATTTTGGCACCTGTAAGGCGGAAAGTTTGCTCAACTTTAATTTTTCAGTCAGAATTGTGTAAGCTGAGCCAATAGACATGTCTGTGGTGTTGGCTATAGTTAGTGCTGTTAACTGTCAGTCCTCTTTAACTAGAGCAAAAACAATATTAATTTTTTTCTCATAACTTGATGTTGATGGTCTGCTGCTGTGGGCTTTGGCTTCAACATTATTTGGTCCCTTCTTAAAATGAGTTATACATTTCTAGACTGCTAATTTATTTGGGACATTGTCTCCATAATTTTTTTTGTAGAGCATCAATGGTTTCACCATTCTTCCATTCAAGATTCACCACAAAGTTGATGTTTGTCCTTGCTTCAATTTGAGCAGAATTCATATTGCTCTGATAGGAGCTCTTTTGAAACTGATGTCTTATCCTTCTTAGTGCCTCAAGCTGGATCCTGTTCAGATGTGTTGTAACAAGTTAGTCCGAATTATTTTGGTGCAAAAATAATTTGAAATTCATGCTTAGGTTTTTCATAATAATTTCCATGAACTTTTTGAAGTCCCCTTGTAAAAAGATTGCAGGATATAAAGCAAATATACAAATACCATTCATGTTTCTAGATTCCAGCAAAAAATGATTGGAAAACAAAAACAAAATTATAATAAAAAGTGAATTTCACCAAAAACATTAAAATCCTCTATACTAAAAACAGAAAACTAGTGGGAAAGAGTCATTGCTGAGAGAAATATTAAAAAGTCTACATAAATGAAGAGATGTTCGTCATTTACACATTGAAAGATTCAATAGTATTAAGATGCCCATTCTTTCCACATGAAATCTCACTGAAAATCGCAGCAAGCATTTTTGTAGAAATTTCCAGACTGAGTTCAAATATTTATGTGGCACATTATAAAGGATCTAAAAGAGTCAAAAATATTTTGGGGAAAAATCAAAGTTGAAGTCCTTACATTCTCTATTTCCGTTAGTCATCACAAAACCACAGTATTCAAGACACGATGATATAAACATAAAGATAGATATGGATAAATAAATCAAAATAGATAAACCAGAAATACCATTTTGCTTCATTTATCCATATATCTGTCTTTATGTTTATACCATCGTGTCTTGAATACTGTAGTTTTATAATTAATTGATTATATATAATCAATTAATTTTTTAATAAACTCTTTACTGCAGTAATATAAACAAGTCACATCCTACAATTTATCTATTTAAACTGTACAATTAAACTATTTTTAGTATATCCACAAAGTTGTGTAACAGTCAACACAATCAACTTTAGAATATTTTTATCACCCCAATGAGAAATCCCACAGTCTTCTTTCTCCTTAAACACCTCCTCCAACCCTAAGCAACCACTAATCTTCTTTCTGTTGGCACAGAGTTGTCTATTTTGAACATTTCATATAAATGGAATGGTGCAATATGTGGTCTTCTTTTGTGACTGGCTTTTTTCACTTAGCATACTGTTTTCAAGGTTCATCTGTATTGTGGCATGTATCAGTACTTCATTCCTTTTTTATGGCCAAATAATATTCTCCTGTATGGATGTACCACATTTTATTTATCCCTTTATTAATCGTTGGACATCTGGATTGTTTTCACTTGGCTATTATGAATATTGATGCTATGAACATGCGTGTATAAATTTCCCTGTGGATGTATGTTTTCATTTCTCTTGGGTCTATATCTAGGATGTAATTGCTCAGTCAAATGGTAACTTAATGTTTGACATTTTGAGAACTTCCAGACTGTTTTCCAAAGCAGTTGCATCATTTTATACTTTTACTAGGAGTGTAGGAAGAGTCCATTTTCCCCACAAAAACATAGTTATTGTCTTTTTTTATTATAGCCATCATAGTGGGTATGAAGTGGCATCTCATAATTTTGATATGCATTTTTCTAATTTTGGATCAATTGATTTTTGACAAAGGTGCCAAAGAAATCCAATAAATAAAGAGTAGTCTCCTCAAAAACTTGTACTGAAACAACTGGCTGGGACTACAGCCAGTATAAACAGACATATAAACACACACACATAGACACACATTAACACAACCGTTATGTTACAGGATTCAAAACATTTAAACTTATAACACAGACCAAAATGGAAAAGCTAAAATTATAAAACATCCAGAAGAACGCAGGACAATATCTTTGTTAACCTGGTGTAAACTATTATTTCTTAGTACAAAATAGCACCGAAAATTAATATGTTTAAAGCATTAAAAGTTAATAAATGAAAAATATATAAATTAGACTTTGTCAAAATTAAAACCTTATGTTCTTCAAAAGATAATATATAAATTTCTAGAGTATGGCAAACTATTCTTTAGTGATAGAAATCAGATTAGTGTTTACCAAGTGAGGCAGGCATAATGAACTTTTCTTGGGTGATGGTAGTGTTCTCTACCTTAATCAAGCGGTTGTTATAAAACGTTACATGTGGCTGGGTACAGTGGCTCATGCCTGTAATCCCAACACTATGGGAGGCGGAGACAGGCAGATCACAAGGTCAGGAGATCGAGACCATCCTAGCCAACATGGTGAAACCCAGTCTACTAAAATGCAAAAAATTAGCCGGGCATGGTGGTGCATGCCTGTAGTCCCAGCCACTCGAGAGGCTGAGGCAGGGGAATCACTTGAACCCGGGAGGCAGAGGTTGCAGTGAGTGAGCCGAGATTGCACCACTGCACTCCAGACTGGTGACAGAGCAAGACTCCGTCTCAAAAAAAAAAAAAAAAGAAGAAGTATACATGTTTGCTTTACATTTAAATTTTGTGAATTTTATTACATGGAAATTATACTTCAATAAGCTTTACATTTTTTTAAAAAAGTACTATGAAGCAGTTGTTCTATTCTAAGCACTGTGTTGTGTGCTGGATACACAATGATAACAGAAACATGGATAGCCCCTGGTTACATAAAGGGGCTATCATATAACCTAGTCATATTTTATATGTATTGTATTATCTTTTTTAACCCTAACAACAATTTTGTAAGGAGATGTGAGCTGGAATTATTATTCCCTTTTCAGAATTGAGGGAACATGGCTTAGAAATGTTAAGTGAAGGATGGTCGCAGTGGCTCACGCCTGTAATCCCAGCACTTGGGGAGGCCGAGATCAGGGTATCACCTGAGGTCAGGAGTTCGAGACCAGCCTAGCCAACATGGTGAAACCCCGTCTCTACCAAAAATACAAAACAATCAGCCGGGCATGGTGGCACACACCTATAGTCCCAGCTGCTTGGGAGACTGAGGCATGAGAATCACTTGAACCCGGGAGGCAGAGGTTGCAGTGAGCTGAGATCACGCCACTGCACTCCAGCCTGGGTGACAATGAGACTCCATCTCAAAAAAAAAAAAAAAAAGAAAAAAGAAAAAAATAAAGAAAGAAAAGAAGAAAAAGAAATGTTAAGTAAATAGCTCGAATCAAAGAGACAAAGGACACAGCAAGGACTTAGGCCCAGGCCCAGATTTTCCAACCCTAAGGGCAACCTCTTTTCTACAAACTATAAAATGAGCCAATTCATCATTCCACAAATATCTACACAACACACACACATACACGCACATAACAATAAAAGTGTAACTTATAGGAAGCAGTGTAGTTCAAACTGTATTTTAGCTCCATCTCCTCTTCTTTCCCATTTTATTACTTTGGAAAATGTTCATAACCACTTTGAGATTCAGTTTTTTTTCTCTAGGACTGGAAAGAACTATCTATGTATAAATGCCAGAGATGTTACAGCTAATCCGGTTTTAGAAAGTTCCTTCTATACATTCCTCTATGCTTATAAGAATATGCATAAATACCTATATTGTTATTGCAATCTCTGATAATGGAAAAAATCATATATATATATATATAAAAAACATATATGTTTGTGTCCATAAGAGAGAGAGAGCATATGTGTGTGTGTGTGTGTGTGTGTGTGTGTGTGTGTGTATCTCAGGCATATGCATTTAATCTCAATATAACATACATCATTCAGGTCATTATGTAAATAACTCATTCTTTTTAATAGCTATATACTCATCCTTGTGCACACAACTGCGTTGGTGCTATTAATTCTATAGGATATATTCTTTAAAGAAGGTGAACTGCTTGCTGAAAAGTTATTCATTTGTACTTTTAACAAATATTACCAAAGTATTGTCTAAAAGTTTGTGGCGATTTGCACCCCACGATGATGTATATGGGTACATATTCCAAGTCACTTTCCAGCTGTGATTTTCAGTCCAAATAAATAAAGCTATACTTGTCATGTCCTGCCCACTGCAAGCTCAGTGGCTCCATCTTCCTTTCTATCTTCCTTTATCCTATGCAAGTGTCATCATGTTGCAACTGAGCTATACTAAGCCATCCCTCAAACACAGGGACTCTGAGCAGAGAGCCGGTGTGCCAGGGTCCACTGAGCGGGAATAAGAGAAGCAGGCTTTTGCTGCAGTCTAGCAGCTCATGTATTTACTCTTTTCCACCTGTCTGAGCTAATGAATCTGCTGATCTCAAGCAGAGGATTACACTAAGCCACTCTGTAATGCTCACTTGACTGAGGATGAACTCAGGATGAAATGATGTTTGTAATTTTTTTTTTCAGGAATTGCAAGCCATTGAATTTGTCAAATATTTATATTGCACAACTGTTAGGTACAAAGTGCCTACAGCATGTATCTCTCTGGCTCTCTGGCTCTCTATCCATATCTATCTATTAAACTCTGCTCTTTTGTCCCATACTATTTTCAAAGGGTTTACAGATATAATCTAAAACCAGACAGGATATAATCTCATGTAACAAGGTCCCAAATGAGGGTACTGATAATTTTATTTTACCTACTGAGTCTATATTCAGTCCTTGTATTAGTCCATTTTGACACTGCTATAAAGAAATATCAGAGCTGAGTTTTTATTTATTTATTTGAGATGGAGCTTTGCTCTTGTCACCCAGGCTGGAGTGCAATGGCATGATCTCGGCTCACTGCAACCTCTGCCTCCTGGATTCAAGCTATTCTCCTGACTCAGCTTCTGAAGTAGCTGGGATTACAGGTGCCCGCCATCACACCCAGCTAATTTTTATATTTTTAGTAGAGATGGGGTTTCACCATGTTGGCCAGGCTGGTCTTGAACTCCTGACCTCAGGTGATCTGCCCACCTTGGCCTCCCAAAGTGCTGGGATTACAGGCATGAGCCACTGTGCCTGGCCAAGACTGAGTAATTTATAAAGAAAAAAGGCTTAATTGACCGCAGTTCCACATGGCTGGGGAGGCCTCAGGAAAATTACAATCATAGTGGAAGGCAAAGGGGAAGCAGGCACCTTCTTCACAAGGTAGCAGAAGGGAAGTGAGAGAGCAGGAAAAAAACTGCCATTTTTAAAACCATCAGGTCTCACGAGAACTCCCTCACTATCAGAAAAACAGCATGGGGGAAACTGCCTCCATGATCCAATCACTCCCCTCCCTCGACACATGGGGATTACACTTCCCTCCCTTGAAACGTGGGGATTGCAGGTCCCTCCCTCAATACCTGCAGATTAGATTTGGGTGGTGACACAGAGCCAAACTCTATCAGTCCTTTTAACCATAACCATAGATAGGGCCCAAATGCTCCTTATTTCCTGTTCCCTTTTCTTCTTTCAGTTTCTGCTCCTCTTCACTTCTTCAAAGACTCTAACTTAACCTCGAACCTATTATTTATAATTGAGATGGTTAGGATTCACCCTGGTTCCAATTTGGATGGCAATAGGTAATCTTCAGTGAGGAGCGTCTTTAAGCCTCTGCTTTGTTAATAAGAATGGTTAATGGGCATAGAAAGAATGAATAAGACCTATTATTTGATGGTACAATAGGGTGACTACAGTCAATAAACTGTACATTTTTAAAATAACTTAACGAGTGTAATTGGATTGTTTGTAACTCGAAGGATAAATGCTTGAGGGGATGAGTACATATACATATATACTATATATATAGTATATAGTATATATATATAGTGTATATACGTATATACACATACTACTAGTAGTATATATATATATTACTAGTAGCCATCCTAATTAGAGAAAAGTTTCAAATTTAGACTAGTAGACATGTTCATATAGATGTCACTGGAAGAAACCGGAGGATATTTTGTTAAGATGATTATGGTGACTTTTTTTGCAGTTTGTCATTATTTCTTGTTTTTTAGCTCAAGCTCCAGTGTATACATTGAATCTCAATATTTCCAAAGATCTCTGCACACAAAAGAGAATGATAGGCAATTTACTATATATATATACTATATATATAGTATATGTATATAGTATCTAGTATATATGTATATATATTGTATATACATGTATTATATATACATGTATTTAAAATACATGTATATATATTTATATATATATATACTATGTACCTAAAAATATTAAAAAATAAGAAAAGGAAAAAAATCATTCTCTATAGAAATCTGGAATACCTAATATTCTTCTAAAATCTCTTTTCCCATGAGAAATAAGAGTGGGCAGGAAACAAGTTGAGGAAGAAAACAGAAAATCACATCCTTCCATGTTTAGATGAATGAGTCACAGTCCCTGATCTCAAAGAGCTCCAGCAAGATGAGAGGCACACGCAACCAGTCAAAAGGACACAAGCTTGAATAGGACAAGGAATGGGGAATAAGGAACACAGGGCAAATTGATAACCCAGGCAATTGAGTATCTTGCCTTGATTTAATTGACAGAAGGCTACATACATAAGCTGGGCCTTCAAAGATGGGCAAAACAAGAAAAGGCCAAAAAAAAACAGGACATCAGTGAAAGCAGAGAGGCAGTAAGGAGCACAGCACCTTGAAGCATGTGTCACTTTGTAAACCTAAGCCATCATAATTAGAGAAAAGTTTCAAATTTAGACTAGTAGACTTATGTTCATATAGACGTCACTGGAAGAAACCAGAGGATATTTTGTTAAAATAATCATGGTGACTTTTTTTGCAGTTTGTCATTATTTCTCGTTTTTTAGCTCAAGCTCCAGTGTATACATTGAATCTCAATATTTCCAAAGATCTCTGCACACAAAAGAGAAAGATAGGCGATTTACAGTCAGGGAAACAAGCCACTTGGGACACACTCAGAAAGTGGCAATTCTGGGCATTGTTAATTCTGACCCACTGAGCCCTTGATTCCTTATACATTTGGGAAGATGCCTGGAGGCCCGGTATGATAAACCGGGCTCTCTCTGTCCTGAGCATGTAGACCAGGATATGATAGGTGATAGGTTAAATTGCTGTTAATGCTAATGAAAAGTCACATCTCACTTTCTTTACAATAAAGACAGTAAGCCCTTCTTGTTAACACTGCATGGGGTGAAATGAAGACAATAACAAAAGTGAAATAAGGCACATATACAAAAGTGAAATAAAAAGTCATCTACAAAAATAAGACCTTTGCCAAATCAATTGTTTTTTGGTGACTATTGTATGAACAAATGAACAGATCTGCTTGCAAAAATCAAGTGTGAAGTCAGTGCTTCATTCCAGATAATGAAAATGACCGGCAACAAGATCTATTTTTAAACATTGCTAGTCAATCTCATAGTAACTGTAGCAAAAACAATGTTATAGAACAGTGTTTGTTTCAGGTTCAAGTTGTGATTGCCAATGTTATAAAGAGTGTATGGGAATAATGGGTTTGGAAGTGCAGATGAACTGGACATACAGAGATCCATAGGTCTGTTCCTTGGGACCACTGCATATGTTTACCACTTTTGTCCAGAATCTGACCTCATTTTTCCCTCAGCCTATGAATAGAAATGATCATTCATTTTCCTCTTGTTTTACTCTATGAGGTATGTATGTGTTTGTGCATGTTCATGTGTGTCAGTGAGCCACAAGTGTATGCATTTGGGCACTTGAGTGAATATATAGATATCAAGTTGTGGTGGGAAAAAGTTTTCAATACTGAAAATGGAACATCCAAGATAATCAAGCTTTATCACAATACTTCAACATATCTTTGTGTTGGAGTCTGTTTTTTTTTAATTTTTCTTACCTGAAGCCACATTATCAGGGGCAACTTTTGTTAACCCAGTTTCCGTATGTGCCAGGACTCAGAATTAAATGTGTACAGACCAAGCCCATGGAATGGGGAGGATGTACGATATTATCCTTACCTTCAAACAATTTGTCAAGCAAACAAAAATATGAGAAATTAGCAAACTATTAGCCATTGTACTCTTCATTGTAGAAAAGAAAAGGCACAGATATTGAAATTTACCTTTACTTTTTTTCCCATGTTCTTTTTTTCTGGGTCTTTTGGTTTCTCTTCCTCCCACTGACTGACTTAGCTTTGCTTTTCATGAATGATGGGATCTTGATAATCTTGCTGCTCAGTAAAATCAAAATCACATTCCCATAGATGGCATTTATATGCCACCTTGGGTGGGAGATCGAAAAAGTGTTTCCAACACCTTTAAAATCACAGAACTTTAGAACTAGGAAAAAAGAAACTTGAAAAAGATCCAGTTGTGCTGCATCATTTCTGATGGGTTATTGAAAGGCAACACCAAACATTGGTGGCAAGGCTTGGACTAGAAACCAGTAAGATCTATTTACTTGTCATCCAGGGATTTTATTGCTATCTCATTCCTTCTGTCCTACATTCATACATGCACTTAAAGAGTATTTAACTGCTTACCTGTACACATTCTAACAAGAACTATAAAATAAAATGTGTAAATTGAGATCAATAAGAGAAGAACACCTGTCCTCAAGTAATGCAGTCCTCAATTGAAGACATGAAACTAACAGTTGTAGTATTCCATGGTGCAAGAGAGCTATAGTAAATCACTTGTTTCTCACTATAACTCTATAAGAAAAAAAATTCCACAGAAAAAGTGCACGGAAATCAAAGACATGTATAATAAAAAGTCATGAAAAACATAAATACTTATCATTGATTATAAGCATATACTATCCTGTTAGTTTTGGCTGTGTCCCCACCCAAATCTCATCTTGAATTGTAGTTCCCATAATCCCCATGTCACGGGAGGGACCAGGTGGAGATAACTGAATCATGGGGGTGGTTTCCCCCATCCTGTTCTTGGGTTAGTGAGTTAGTTCTCATGAGATCTGATAGTTTTATAAGGGTCTTCTCCCCCCATCGCTCTGCACTTTTCCTTGCTGCCACCATGTGAAGAAGGATGTGTTTTCTTCCCCTTCTGTCATGATTGTAAGTTTCCTGAGGCCTCCCCAGCCCTGCAGAGCTCTGAGTCAATTAATCCTGTTTCCTTTCTAAATTACCCAGTCTCAGGTATGTCTTTATTCGCAGCATGAGAACAGACTAATACATATTCTTTATGGAGAAAACAAAGCCACCAAAAATAATTGAAGTTAAATTGAATTTCTACATGCTTTTTAATGAGTCAAGTGGCAGAATATTTTTGCATCGGTGCTTATTATTATAGAATGTTTATCTTGGGGAAGTAATTCTATTTTTCAGGGCACAGTTTTGTCCTGTGTAAAATAAAGGATATAGGTTTAATGTCTGTGGTAGGCAGAATAGTGGCTCCAAGATGTCCATATTCTAATTCCCAGGACCTGTGGCATGGCAAAGAAGAATAAAGGTTCCAAGTGAGAATAAGATTGTTATCAGATAGCCTTAAAATAATGAGACTATTCTGGAGTATATGGGTGGCTCCAGTGTAGCTTCAAAGGGCCTTAAATGTAGAGGAGGGAGGCAGAACAGCCAGTGTCAGAATATTACAATGTGAGACTCCACCAGCCACCGCTGGCTCTGAAGATGTAAGGGACCACAAGCCAGGGAATGCAGGCCATCTCAAAGCTAGAAAGGGCAAGGATGTGTATAGTCTCCTAGCAGGTCCAGAAGAAATGCAGCCCTGCTTATACCTTCACTTTAACCCAGTGAGACTGATTTTAGATTTTCCAAACTATATGATAATAAATGTGTGTTATTTTAAACTGCCAACTTTGTGATAATCTGTTGCAATAGTAATAAAAACTTAACACAGTGTCCAATGAGCTTTACAAGGTTATGATGACAGTTTTCTCCAAACCCAAATTGTCTCTCTCTCTCTCTATCTTCCCCCATCCTTACTTCCTCCTTCACTCCCCTCCAAAAATCTTTGAAAATTCTCTCCATTCTACCTTACCTTGTTTTATAGGCCTCCCTTACTCCTTTCTCATTTCAGGCCTTTTTCTTTCTGTTCTACATTAATATTGTTTCTATTCCATTAGAAACTAATGAAATCTTCCTTGGTTCCTCTCAATTCTCCCTTTCACCCATCCTCTTAGTGAATATGACAAGGTCCAGTAATCAAGAAAACAAAGATCAAATATTAGAAAGAGGAAAGTAAGAAGTTGTGAATATCAATATTTATTTACTTACATATTTATTTCTCATCACAATAAATTTTCTGAAGAAACTAGCTTAAAATAAGAGATAATCATGCCTACTCGATCAGGATCTTGTAAGGTCACAACTAATTTATAAATAATTGCTAATAATATAGAAGATGCTCAGAATTATAAGCTAATGAAAACATTAATTTGAGTTCAGGTCCAATATCTTGAAATCAACATTTTTCAAAGCTTATCGAAATTTCTTTACATTTATCATGAAAGATACGTATTAAAGAACAAAAAGAAAGAAAACAAATATAAAAGGATTCAGAAAAAATGCTCAGTTTTGTAAATAATGCATTCTGAATATACTTGTGTTAGCCATTTCCTTGAATTTATCAAAATGCCATATTCAGTTAAGCTGAAAACTAATCCTGTTTCAAACATTGCTCAACGTGCATTGAAGAAAAAAAAAGATGACTGAGTATGTAGAAGCGCATCTGAATATGCATTCAATATAAACTAATAGCAGCTGGGGAAATAAAATGCTTTTGATGCAGATGGACAAGTGTTCTATAGAAAACATTTTCATCCTTTTTTAACAGGGTTTTTTTCTCATTTTTAATGCAGACATAATCTTAAAGAAAATTTCTACGAATTCATTGCAAAGTTCATTTTTAGAAAAATCCATCAAGTTTTAAAATTTTCTCTCTCTCTCTCTGTGTGTGTGCGTGTGTGTGTGTATGATGTGTGTCTATAGAAGACATATATATATTCCATACAAACAGGTTAGTTTACAAAAGTTTATTTTCAAACAGTCATTTGAGACTCAAAATATTGTTTCCCATCACTTGATCTGGCAATCTAAAAGCATATTTAACTAACAATTACACTAAAACAGTAGATTTTATCTGAGGAAATAAAAAAGAATGTTGTAATTATTGGACCAATTAACAAAATTAATCAGTAAGTAGTTAGCCTCCAGGAATACCTATTTTAAAAAATGTGGAATTCACTGGGTACTACATATTTGAAAACATGTGAATGACATTCATTAGTATTTTATGTTCAGAATGTTAGAGGTCTGAGTGAGGGAAATTCTTTGCCTGTTCAAGGGATGTGTGACTCTAATCCCATAACTTTAGCTCTTCCCATAATAACCTCTTATCAGAACAAAGCAAGCCATCATCAGTACATTTCAGCAGACACTCTACATACACCATTAATTATTTATTCATTCAATAAAACTTATTGAGCACAAATAAAGTGTCCGGCAACATGTTGTTTCTTTGTTCACAACAGCCTTGTGAATAGAAGATTGATGTTCCCATATTAGAGATGAGAAAAGTGAGACTCAGCATTTTCATAACATGGCTACCTTTCTGTGTATTCACTATGTGACTGAGAGAACGTGTCATCTCATTTAATCCTCACAACAATCTGATGAGGTCAGTATTTTACTGTACTGAGGAGCGAACTGAGAATTACAGGGTTAAGAAACTGGCCAGAAGTTAAATAGCAATTTAGTAATGGAGCCAGAAGCCAATCCTGAATTTTGTTTGATGCTGGATCCCAAGCTTTTAAACTGCATGTTTAAGTTATTTGTCAACAAATGCAAAATTATTAAGAAGTATAGTTTGGGCTTGAACCCACATTTCCCTTTCATTTTATTTACTTTATTTTACTGTTTAATTTAATTCAACTGTATTTTATTTCATTGAGTTGGGATCGGCTCTGTCGCCCAGGCTGGAGTACAGCAGTGTGATCATAGCTTATTGTAACTTTGACTCTCAAGCTCAAATTATCCTCCTGTCTCAGCCTCCTGAGTAGCTAGGACTATAGGCATGTGACACTACGCCAAGCTAAATTTTTAAATTTTTTGTAGAGATGAGGTCTCGCTATGTTGCCCAATCTGGTCTCAAACTCCTGGCCTCAAGTGATCCTCGACCTTCCAAAGTGCTGGGTTTACAGGCATGAGCCACTGCGCCCAGCTTGAACCCACATTGCTTACTTCAAAGCCTAATGACCAATTTCGTGAAGGAGGTAAGACATGTAACCCAAGCATTTTAATGCAATATGAAAAGTGCCTTAACCAGTGTGTGAGGGGTTAAAGCAGGGTAGGCTTTACAAAGCAAGTTGATTGAGCTGAAATTTCAGGGCGAATGTAAATTGAATAGAAGACAAGTAAAGAGAACAACATTTCAGCAGTGAGAAGGCGTTTCCTAGTGGCACAGGTACATGGAAGTGCATACATATTCAGGGGACTACAAGTCTGCAAAATAATGGAAACATAAAATTCATCGTTGGAAGTGGCAGTAAATTAGACTGGAAATATAAGTGAAGATCAATTTGTACACTCCCCTTATAAAGTTGGTGATTTCTTGCTTTGAAAAGAATAACTAATTTACCTGGTTAAGAGCCAATGGCTCTTTACCTTCACTTTGAAGAAAGGGACAAATAACGGCTTTGCAATGTAGTTAGGCTTTGTTTTTTCTCTTTTCTTTTTTTTAAAACAAATCACAAACTCTTAAAAAGTTGAAGTATAACACACATAGAGTACACTGCATAGGTCACCAGGATACAGCTTGCCGAATTCTCCAATTCTCCAATTGCACACGTACGCATACCCAGAGCAGCCTAAGAAACTGAATTGACCAGGCCCCCAGAGTTGCCCTGTGCTTCTCCCAACCAGTGTGTCCATCTCAGGGCGACAATAATCCATAGCCTGGTATCTAGTACCATGGATGAGTTTTGGTTACTTTTGAAATTTATGTAAATGAAATAATACAATATGCATTCTTTTTGTGTCTGGTTTCTTTCATTTAACCTTATGTTTGAAAATCACCTTTTGAAGTTAAAAAAAAACTTTATATAATACATTGAAATGATTTTTAAACGTTCAAATAGGATAAAAAGATTACAGTGAAAAACTCTTCTGTCTCCCAACCCAGTCCTCTACCTCCCTTCTCTGAAGATAACCAATATTAACAATTTCTTGATCATCTTTGGAAAGAAATTTTAGGCACAAATAGACCTCTGAATGTGTTATCTTTCTTCCCCTGCACATAAATGGTGGCACATACTACACATAGAAGAAAAGTCCTTGGGAGATGTACTTCCTAAATATCTCCTGAGTCCTACTGTTTGTTCATTTCTATTATTCCACTCCTGTTGAAGAATACAGGGATGTTACTTTGAAAAGACTGTCACTCAGTTTGGGTTTGATTCATGTTTTGTCATGATTAGATTCAGCTTATGTACTTTTTTGGCAATAATACTACAAAAGAGATATTGTGTTTTTCTTAGTACATTATATCAGGAGAGACCTCATGTAGGTTTGTGCCATTACTGTGACGTGAATTTCAGTCCTTTAGGTAAGGTGAAGTCAATCAGGTTTCTACAATATTACCAATTTTCCTTTTGTAATTAATCAGTAATCAATGAGGAGATTCTTTGAGACAATGTATAATTTTGTTTCCTCGTCAAGTATTCATTCAATGTTTTTAACTTCTATTGATGAATTTTGCTTAATCAGTCATAATTATAACAACTAAAAACTGATATTATTAAGTTTATTTTTATTGTTCTCAAGGTCTGCTGCACTCTCAAGCCAGGCTATGTCAGCTGGACTACATGGTGCCTTTTGTACCTGTCTGCATCCTGCTGTCCTGTTCACCATCTGCAGAGGGCTCAGCTTGCAGTCCCAGAGGAGATGTACATTTCCAGAAGTGTGAAAGAAAGATCTAGAGCCTAAGCTAATGACATCTAGTACTCTGAACTTGTCTTTGTGTCCACCTTGTTTTGGTTCCAGAGAAATGAGACAGTTGCTAGTGAGGTTGGTGCTACCTTGCGTAGCTTCTAAACCTCAAACCTACCTTGGAGATTTTGTCCCTGGCTTTTTCTTTGTTCTCAGGTCTTATCATTCCCTTTTTTCTGGACATGAAATCTAGATCTTTGATTTTGAAAAGAAATTTGGACGCTTGACTATGTATTCCCAAATTCTTTTTTTTTTAATTTTATTATTATTATATTTTAAGTTTTAGGGTACATGTGCACAACGTGCAGGTTAGTTACATATGTATACATGTGCCATGTTGGTGTGCTGCACCCATTAACTCGTCATTTAACATTAGGTATATCTCCTAATGCTATCCCTCCCCTCTCTCCCCACCCCACAACAGTCCCCGGTGTGTGATGTTCCCCTTCCTATTCCCAAATTCTTTAGCAAGTTGTTCTCTGGACTTAATCCCAGACTTAGAGTTGTTTATAAATACCTTGATGATAGTGTGTGATTGGAAGAAGGTGTAAGTGGTAAGACACTGTCTGGCTACTCTGCTTGGAATCTCCTCTTCAGGATATTCTTGGCCTTGGCTTGATTCTAAGGCCTCCTCAGGTCCAGGTCTTTGCTGGAATCAGCAGCTCCCTCTTCAATTCTGAAACCATATCTGGATTGTAGACCAGATTCTTTTCTGTGTTGATTTCTAAAGCAAGTTTTCATTCGTTAGCATAACCTGGGTAAAGTTTTTTGTTAAATGAAGATTTGCAGCTGATCTGTGAAGTTGGTGCTGCTGCACCTATAATTTTTTGCTATGATCTCCTTTGAAGAGCTATCCTTAACTAGTCCATATAGGAAAAGTCTTGGTACCTATGGATTCAACTAGGCATCTTCTGGCTCAGTGTTCATCTGTATGCACAGTTATGTGTAAGCACTAGGAGCTGAGCCTGAAAAGTACCTATGAGGCAAGATTAACTTTCTTGGGTATTTGTTGGAATGTCGGAAAAAGTCTTGAGTGGTTCACATGAAAACTGTTAATTTAGCAAGAACACAATTTAGAGAGGGGAAAACCTAGCTCTGCTCACTGACGCATGTGCAAGATGAGATGCTGGCAGTGGAATTGTGTATTTATGATAATTTTGCTGTTGCAGGGCAAGGGAGGCCATCTACCAGGGAATTGCAGTAATTAGATGAGGAAAGTGATTGTTCCATAAAACTCAGCTAAAATGTTACAGTGGAGCAGAGAGAAATGAAGAATAAAGAGTATTTCCCAAGTCAGAAAAGACTGTTTTATTGTCTATTTTACAAGCATAGTTAGGATGTTAAATTGGAAGCAAATCTAGCTGGAAAGCAGTAACACACCAGATTTGGCCATCAAATTAATTCTGTCATAATGAAATGTGAAATTTGACTACTGAAATGAAGAGGAATTGGATTTAGGCTGCTTATCCTGGTGGCTTTCAATTATAACATGACATAATACACATTCTTTTGTAAAACATAAAAATAAATGCTGAGCAAACAGAGGCAACTACTGAACACCACCACTACCAACAACAAAAACCATAAAAATAATTGCCAATCCAGACATTCCCAAGGCTTACCTGGGAAGTCATGTGAAAAATAAGGGGATCAAAATACATAATTTCTAATGTCCTTTACAGCTCTGCTCTAAATGCCAGCAGCCATAAATTTAGGTCTTAGGAAAGATCAACATGTCATGACACAAAATAAAGTATTAAAGTTGGCAAACAATTTAGTTCTTCATAAGTTAAACAAGTTCAGCATTATTCCTGTAATGATGGCACGCTTGCTGTCCTGATTTTGACTATACTTTCTTAAGATAGAAAGTGATTAAATTATAGCTAGTATCCTAGGCCCATGTAAGCATGGATGCCATTGGAGGAGTGGAGATATGTATGCTACTCACTTATATATTAGCCCCAGAGCATGGCAAAATTTCTATGATTGTTCGTAGGGCTTCTCTCCATACTTTTTATCAGGTTTCTTCCTTAAGAGAGAAGAATTAGACATATCTTTATGCATTTTATTTGACTTGTCTGCACAGGAATAAATTAGTGAGACAGTGCTATAGTTTGTATGTTTGTTCCTCTCAAAACTCACATTGCAATTTTATCCCCATGTTGGAGGTAGGGGCCTAATGGGATGTGTTTGGGTCATGGGAACAGACTCCTCACACCCTCTGTTAGTTCCCAGGAGAGCTGGTTGTTTATAAGAGCCTGTTACCCGCCCCCATCTTTCTTTCTATGTAATCCCTAAACATGCTGGCTCTCCTTCCCCTTACATCGTAAGTGGAAGCAGCCTGAGGCTCTCACCAGAAGCAGATGCTAGCACCATGCTTCTTGTATAGCCTGCAAAGCCATGAGCAAAATAACTCTCTTCTCTTTATAAATTACCCATCCCTAAGTATCCCTTTATGGCTAAACAGACTAAGACATGAAATTGATACTTAGGACTGGGGAATTACTATAAAGATGCCTGAAAATGTGGAAATGTCTTTGGAAATGGGTAATGGGTTGGAAGAGTTTTAAGGGCTCAGAATAAGACGAAAAGATGAGGGTAAGTTTGGAACTTCTTAGATATTGGTCAAATGGTTGTTACTAAAATGCTGATAGAACTATAAACAGTACTGGCTGCACTTGGTGGTTTATGCCTGCAATCCTAGCAGTTAGGGAGGCTGAGGAAGGAGGATCTCTTAAGGACAGAAGTTTGAGACCAGCCTGGGCAACATAGTAAGACCCTGTCTCTACAAAAAAACAAAAAAGAAGAAGAAGAAAAAAAAAATGAAAAAAGATATACACAGTAAAGGACAAGCTGATAAGGTCTTGAATGGAAATAAAAAACCTATTGGGAATTGAAGCAAAGGTCACCCTTGTTACACCTTAGCAAAGGACTTGGCTACATTGTATTCATGCCTGAGGGCTTTGTGGAAGGCTGAAGTTGAGAGTGATGACCTAGGGTATCTGATGGAAGAAATTTGTAAGCAGCAAAGACTTCAAGAACTGGCATGGTTATTTTTATCAGTTTATGATCATATACAGCAGCAAAGGAATGGCCTAAAGGTGAGATTTATAATGAAAAAGGACACAGAGCACTAAAATATGGAATATCTACAGCCTGGCCATGTGGCAGACAAAGAAAAAGCATTATCAGGAGAGGACTCTGAGGGTGCAGATGAGCAACAACTTGCTAGAGAGATTAGCATGAATAAATGGAAATTAAATGTTAATCATCAAGAAAATGCCAACGAGGACCTGAAGACATTTCAGAAATCTTCAAGACTGACCCACCTATCACAGGCCCGGAAGCCTAGGAGAACAGAATGGTTTGGGGAGCCAGGGCCAAAATGCTGCTTCTCTGCACCATCTCAACATGCTGCTCCCTATATTCTCACTGCTCTGGTTCCAGCCACAGCTCAAACAGCTCCAGGTACAACTCAAGCCACTGCTCTGGAGGGTGTAAGCAATAAGCCTTGGTGGCATCCATGCAGTATTAAGTCTGCAAGTGCCCAGAATGGAAGAGTGATAGAGGCTTGGCAACTTCTACCTAGATTTTAGAGGATGTATCAGAAAGCCCGGATGCCCAGGCAGAAGTTTGCCACAGAAGCTGAGCCACTATAAAGAATACCCACAGGGGCAATATCTAGTGGAGCCATTGAGGTGGGGCTACAGTGAGGACCCGTAATAATCAAGGCACCAGTAGCATGCAACTGCAGCCTGGAGAAAGCCACAGGAATTCAAATCCAACCTGTGAGAGCAGCCACATGGGCTGTGCCCAGCAAAGCCATGGGGATAAGGCTGCCCAAGACCTTGAAAATTCACCCTTCACACTAATGTGCTCATGATGTGAGACATGGAGTCAAGGGAGATTATTCTGGAGCTATAAGATTTAATGTCTGCCCTGCTGGGTTTCAGACTTGTGTGGGGGCATGTTACACCTTTCTTTTGGACTATTTCTCCATTTTGGAATGAGAATGCTTACCTAATGTCTATTATACCATTGTATCTTGGAAGTAAATAACTTGTTTTTACAGACTTATAGCTGGAAAGAATTGCCTTGTGTCTCAGATGAGATTTGGGACTTTAGACTTTTGAGTTGCTGCTAGAACAAATTGTGGGACTTTTGAGGACTATTGAAAAGGAGTGATTGTATTTTGCAATGTAAAAATGACATGAGTTTGTGTGGGGGGGAAAGGGAGAGGAATGCATAGCTTGAATGTTTTGTCCCACCACACTCCATGTTTCAATTTGATCCCAATGTTGGTGGTATCACCTAATGGGAAGTGTTTGTGTCATGGGGGCAGACTCCTCATGAACATATTAATGCCCTTACTGAGGAGGGGGAGAGTGAGTTCTCCCTCTATTAGTTCCTGGGACAGCTGGTTGTTATCAAGAGGCTGGCATCTCCCCATTCTCTCTCTTGCTTCCTTTCTTGGCATGTGATCTCTGTACATGCCAGCTTCCTTTCACCCTCCATCAGGAGTGAAAGCAGACTGATGCCCTTACCAGAAGCAGAGGCTGCCACCATCTTCTTGGACAGTATGCAGAACCGTGAGCTAAATAAACTATTCTCTATAAATTACTCATCCTCAGGTATTTCTTTATAGTAACACTAAACAAAGACAGAGAGACTATTGAACCTCCTTAAAAATTCACTCTTCAAATCCAGAGCAAGGGGAAAAAAACATTGATTATGCCTTCTAAGTTTTTCTATTGATAGCATGTTAAAATGATAACATTTCAGATAGGTTGAATTAGATAAAATATATTATTAAAATTAATTTACCTTTTTTTCTATAATATGGTTACCAGAAAATTTTAATTATATATGCAGCCTGTACTATATTTCTATTAAACCATGCTAATCTAGACAATCCACAGAATAGCACACTGTCACACTCTTTTAGTGAGAGCATGCCCACTGCAACTGAGGAGCATGTGTATTGGGTATCATAGTAAGCCACATAATCTCCAGAGGTTGGGAGGACCTAAAAAGGTTCAGCAGCTTACTATATTGGTGAAATTTTTGGTCTGGTGCATGCTTGGACATCCTCCCCAAAGTAAAGGGTATCTTACTGCACCTTGAGCCACCTATCACTAAAAGAAAAGTATATTAGAGATCTCTTCAGTTATTGGAGATATTCCACACTTGAAAATATTGCTCTAATTAGTTTATTTGGTGACAGAAAAGACAATTGATATGATTTGTCTGTGTCTCCACC
Source organism: Homo sapiens (assembly GCF_000001405.40). NCBI lineage: Eukaryota > Metazoa > Chordata > Mammalia > Primates > Hominidae > Homo > Homo sapiens. The sequence continues at coordinate 59,651,116 of NC_000016.10, read as the reverse complement.
CAAATCTCATCTTAAATTGTATTTCCCATAATCCCCACATGTCACGGGAGAAACTCAGTGGGAGGTAATTGAATCATGGGGGCATAAAACAGCCCCAGGCTGTTTTATGATATTGAATGAGTTTTCATGAGATACGATGGTTTTATAAGGGGCTTTTCCCCCTTTCCTCAGCACTTCTCTCTCCTGCTGCCATGTGAAGAAGGATGTGTTTACTTCCCCTTCCACCATGATTGTAAGTTTCCTGAGGCCTCCTCAGCTACACGGAAATGTGAGTCAAGTAAACCTCTCTCACCAGTCCTATTCAACATCGTATTGGAAGTTCTGGCCAGGGCAATCAGGCAGGAGAAAGAAATAAAGGGTATTCAATTAGGAAAAGAGGAAGTCAAATTGTCTCTGTTTGGAGATGTCATGATTGTATATTTAGAAAGCCCCATAATCTCAGCCCAAAATCTCCTTAAGGTGATAAGCAATTTCAGCAAAGTCTCAGAATAAAAAATCAATGTGCAAAAATCACAAGCATTCCTATACTCCAATAACAGACAAACAGAGCCAAATCATGAGTTAACTCCCATTCACAATTGCTAAAATGAGAATAAAATACCTAGGAATCCAACTTACAAGGGATGTGAAAGATCCCTTCAAGGAGAACTACAAACCACTGTTCAACTAAATAAAAGAGGACACAAACAAATGGAAGAACATTCCATACTCATAGATAGGAAGAATCAGTATCGCAAAAATGGCCATAATGCCCAAAATAATTTATAGATTCAATGCTATCCCCATTAAGCTACTACTGACTTCCTTCACAGAACTGGAAAAAACTACTTTAAATTTCATATTGAACCTAAAAGAGCCCACATAGCCAAGACAATCCTAAGCAAAAAGAACAAAGCTGGAGGCATCATGCTACCTGACTTCAAACTATACTACAAGGCTACAGTAATCAAAACAGCATGGTACTAGTACCAAAACAGATATATAGACCAATGGAACAGAACAGAGGCCTCAGAAATAACACCACACATCTAAAACCATCTGATCTTTGACAAACCTGAGACAAACAAGCAATGGGGAAAGGATTCCCTATTTAATAAATGGTGCTGGGAAAACTGGCTTGCCATATGCAGAAAGCTGAAACTGGATCCCTTCCTTACACCTTATACAAAAATTAACTCAAGATGGATTAAAGACTTAAATGTAAGACCAAAAACCATAAAAACCCTAGAAGAAAACCTAGACAATACCATTCAGGACACAGGCATGGGCAAAGACTTAATGACTAAAACACCAAAAGCAATGGCATCAAAATCCAAAATAGACAAATGGGATCTAATTAAACTAAAGAGCTTCTGCACAGCAAAAGAAGCTATCATCAGAGTGAACAGGCAACCTACAGAATGGGAGAAAATTTCTGGAATCTATCCATCTGACAAAGGGCTAATATCCAGAATCTACAAAGAACTTAAACAAATTTACAAGAAAAAAACAAACAACCCCATCACAAAGTGGGCAAAGGATATGAACAGACACTTCTCAAAAGAAGACATTTATGCAGCCAACAGACACATGAAAAAATGCTCATCATCACTGGTCATCAGAGAAATGCAAATCAAAACCACAATGAGATACCATCTCACACCAGTTAGAATGGCAATCATTAAAAAGTCAGGAAATAACAGGTGCTGGAGAGGATGTGGAGAAATAGGAATGCTTTTACACTATTGGTGGGAGTGTAAATTAGTTCAACCATTGTGGAAGACAGTGTGGCAATTCCTCAAGGATCTAGAACTGGAAATACCATTTGACCCAGCACTCCCATTACTGGGTATATACCCAAAGGATTATAAATCATTGTACTATAAAGACACATGCACACTTATTTTCATTGCAGCACTGTTCACAGTAGCAAAGACTTGGAACCAACCCAAATGTCCAACAGTGATAGACTGGATAAAGAAAATGTGGCACATATACACCATGGAATACTATGCAGCCATAAAAAGAATGAGTTTATATACTTTGCATCATTCTCAGCAAAGCAACCAAAGAAGAGAAAACCAAACACCTCATGTTGTCACTCATAAGTGGGAGTTGAACAATGAGAACACATGGACACAGGGAGGGGAACATCACACACTGGGGCCTGTTGGGGGCTGGGGGGCTGGGGGATGGATAGCATTAGGAGAAATACCTAATGTAAATGACAAGTTGATGGGTGCAGCAAACCTACCTGGCACATGTACACCTGTGTAACAAACCTGCACATGTACCCCAGAAATTAAAGTATAATAACTAAAAAAAAAAAAGAATTGAGGTTTGGGAACCTCTACCTAGATTTCATAGGATGTATGGAAATGCCTGGATGTCTAGGCAGAAGTTTGCTCCAGCAGCTGAGCCCTCATTGAGAGCCTCTACTAGGGCAGTGTGGAAGGGAAATGCAGAGTCAGAGCCCCCACACATAGTGCCCACTGCGGCACTGCCCCCACACAGAGTGCTCACTGTGGCACTGCCTAGCTGAGTTGTGAGAAAAGAGCCACCCTCCTCTCAGCCCCAGAATGGTAGATCTACTGTGTGCCTGGAAAAGCCACAGACACTCAACACCAGCCTGTGAAAGCAGCAAAGCCACAGCAGTGAAGCTGCCCAAAGCTGTGGGAGCCCACCTCTTACATCAGAGTGACCTGTATGTGAGACATAAAGTCAAAGTGGATCATTTTGAAACTTCAAGGTTTAATGACTGCCCTTTAGATTTTGGACTTGCATAGGGCCTGTAGCCCATTTGTTTTGGCCAATTACTCCCATTTGGAATGGGTGTATTTACCCAAATCATGTACCTCATTATGTCTAGAAAGTAACTAACTTGCTTTTGATTTTTCAGGCTCATATGCAAAAGGGACTTGCCTTGTCACAGATGAGACTTTGGACTTAGACTTCTGGGTTAATACTGGAATGAGCTGACTCTGGGAGACTGTTGGAAAGGCATGATTGTGTTTTGAAATGTGAGGACAGGAGGTTTGGGAAAAATTAGGGATGGCATGATACGGTTTGGTTGCGTCCCCACCCAAATCTCATCTTGAATTGTAGCTCCCATAATCCCCACATGTTGTGGGAGGGACCTGGTAGGAGGTAATTGAATCATGGGGGCAGTTACCCCTGTGCTATTCTTGTGATAGTGAGTGAGCTCTTGCCAGATCTGATGTTTTATAAGGGACTTTTCTTCCTTTGCTCAGCACTTCTCTCCCCTGCTGCCATGTGAGGAAGGGTATGTTTGCTTCCCCTCCCACCATGATTGTAAGTTTCCTGAAGCCTCCCCAGCCATGTGGATCTGAGAGTCAATTAAAACTATTTTCTTTATAGATTACTCAGTCTTGGGCAGTTCTTTATAGCAGCATGAGAATCGACTAATACTGCTGTTAATTTTGACTATATCCAAGAGCAAGAAATGAATTCATATTAGGTCTAATCTTCAGTACAAGAAGATCTACAGCTTGGTCCATACACCCTACAAAATCCTATGTGGTAGGGTTGAAACCGGCATGTCTGGTTTGTGTTAATGACTCTCCTCTCAAAATATTCCTCTCAAAATATTGATCACATTTCTGTGATCAATCAGAATCCCAGAGAAGCTATGCATGGATGAACTGAATTTAAGAAGAATATCTGATCACTCCAAGAGATGCGCTATAGTTGCTGTATTTGGTACCTTCCCAGATATCCTTCACTGGGCCAGTGCCCTCATCCCCTGAATGCCACGTATTAGCTGCCAACAATCTACAAATGCCCTGTACTTCAGAGCTGCCCTTGGATAAATGGAAGTCTTCTTTCCCAGGATATTACATTCCTTATAGGAGCCAGCTGGCTACCAACAACTGCTTAATAGGAGGCAAAAAGGCTAACACCCCTTAACTCAAGGCAGAACTAACACTGTGATAAAATTGTTGATGTAGAACTCTACATGGGACAAGGTTTAAATCATTGCCAGCCAAGTCTGCATCCTTGCTTAGCTTCATTTTCCTGACATACCTTGCCTTCTTCACCTCCCTTCTTTGAGAGCAGTCTTAATCAGTCCCTTTCATAATAATTATCAAGCGCTCTAGATTCTGAGAACTCAATAACTTTCTAATGTTGATCAATTAAAACACTCTCTCCATTCCTAAGTATATGCATCTATGAATTAAGGGATGTAAAGCATCCCATAAACTAAAAAGTAAAACCATAGGCTCATATTTCTTATGGCGTTGTATAACACTACAAGACAAGCCACCTAGACTAGTTCAAGAGCTACCCATGTGGGAGGAAGATCTAGTATGAATGGTTGACAAGATGGATGATGACTATTATTCCATTTTTATTACTATTATTTTACTTACAAAATACAATTTTAGGATTCTGGATGATAGGAGGGGGGCATTAGTGAAGGCATTTCAGGGGAGATAATGTTAAAACTGGATTATAAAGATGAATAGCAATTAGCTAGGAAGAAGACAGGAGGAGGATAGTACAGACAATGAGAATAGAACAATCAGAGAGGCCTCAAAAATAGGGGCAATGTGTACACTCTCATGTCTCTTACAAATGCTTGAAACAAAACTTACTATTTATGCCATAAAAAAACGATATTTAGATTTAAATTTTTATCACATAAAACTTCTTAATTAGAAGAACATAGCGAGATTTATACTTCTTCTCTTTCAGATTATAAGTAACATTAGGGCAGAGACTATGTCTCTTAATTACTCCTGTTTCTCTATTGCTTTGTTAAGTATTAATCAGCTCTGGGCCCTTGTGATTATTCTACAAACTCCAGTTCCTCAGTAATTTTATGTTAAGCCATGATTAAAATACTATTTTATGTTTAATAACTTTAAATTTTATAATTCTAAACTCTAACTTGAACTATATATTTGTAGATGCAACCGACCACTTGACATCTCTACTTGAATGTTTAATAGGGGTCTATTTGTTAAATGAATAAACAAACATCTTCTAGATGGGTTCATGAGGCTTCCGGGGGATGTGGCACGTAGTAGATACTTAACAAATTCAAACAAACATAAAACAATGTAGCTTGGCTCAAGAAATATGAGTTTATATTTATTAGGAAAGGAATAAAAATGAAACTAAGGTAAAATTGTTTAGAACTTAAGACGGAATTACTTTTTTGATTTAAATTCATTCCTAATCTAAGAACTTTGTCATATATAGTATATTTTAAGCAATTGGGAAAGGACTTATGTGTATGCATATGTCTTTATACGTACGTGTTTTGGGGAGTTGACTTTAGTAGAAAGACAGGAGAAGAAACTAACATGTAGAATTGGCCAGTAGATGGAGTATGTCAATCTAATGTAAGAATACCTCTCTGAAATTAGAAAAATTAAAAATGAAATGAGCTATTTGGTGAAGTCTCCTCTCTTTTAACATACTTACCTCACTTCTGAAATGAGATAAATGTACATTTTCCTATTTTTTCTGCTAAATATAACTAAAAATCTGGGCAGAATATACAAACAAACACAATACCCTAAATATGGAAAGAAAAAGACCAGTTAGGGACTGCAGAACCCAAGAAACAACATGGTGGTATGTTTCCTGGGTTTTCTTTTTGTCTGACTTATACCAGGATTGAAACTGAAGAAGTCAGCATCCAGGAAGCATCAATAGGTGCAAACAAATAAAGCCTTGACAAAATGGTAGACTTAAGCCCTAACATATTAATAAATACATTAAATGTAAATGGCATAACTACACAAAGAAAAATACAGAGGCTGGTAATGCATATTTAGAAAGTAACCCAATTTTATACTTTCTACAAAAAACACACTTTAAATATAACTGTATAGGCATCCTGGAAGTAAAAAGATGGAAAAAATATATATCATGCAAAAATCACCAAAGGAAAGAAAAAGTGGCTATATTAATATCAGATTAAATAGACTTCAGAGCAAAGAAATTACTAGAGAGTAAGAGGAACACTGTAAAGGATAAAAAGGCCAATCTACCAAGAAGACATAGCAACCTAAATGTGTATGTAGCAACAAAATAATGCAAATAGGTGAAGCAAAAACTGGTAGAACTGAAATAAGGAATAAACATACTCATAATTATGAGAAACTTCAATGACCTGCTATCAAAAATTGATAGAACAACTACACAGAAAATCACCAACAATACAGAAGAACTTAAATACACCAAGATTGAATTCATATATGCAGAACTATCTACACAGTGACAGCAAGATACACATTATTTTCAAACGTGCATGAAATACATAACATAGTACATCATATCCTGGACCACAAAACAAACCTCAAAAAATTTAAAACAATTGAAATCACACAGAGTGTGTTATTTGACAAAATTGAATTAAACTAGGATTCAATAACAGAAAGATAAGAGAAAAGTTACCAAATACTTCAGAGCAAACACATCGGTCAAAGAGGATGTGCCAAGGGAAATAACAAAAAATACATTAAATTGAATAAAAATACAATAAAATAAAAATACAATATATCAAAATTTTTGCAACACAGCTAAAGTAGTGATTCAATGAAATGTATAGCAGTAAATGTAAACATTACAAAAGAAGAAAATTCCCAGGTCAATAATCCGAACTTCTACCTCAAAAACTTAGAAAAAAGAAGAGAAAAATAAACCCAAAGCAAGCAAGAAGAAAAAAATAATAAAGATAAGGGCAGAAATCAATAAAATTTAAAACACAAAAATGACAAAATTAATAACACAAAGAGCCAGTGCTTTGAAAATATTTTAAAAATTGAGAAAACTCTATCAAACCTAACAAAGAAAAAAGAGAGAAGATACAAATTACCGATATTGGGAATAAAATATGGACATCACTCTAGAAATTATGGACACTAAAAGGATAATAAGAAACACTACAGACAACTCTACATAAATTTGACAACTTAAAATAAATAAACCAATTTCTCAAAAAATATAAACTGCCATAACTCACTCAGTATGGAACAAATCACTTGAAAAGACCTATAAATGTTAAGAAAATAGAATTTCTAATTTGAAGACTTGCAAAATAGAAATCTCCAGGCCCAAATTGTTTCAGTGGAGAATTCTACCAAATACTTAAAGCATTAATGCCAATTCTACAGAATCTTATCTAATAAAATAGAAAAGGAGAGAACATTTAAGAATTCATTTTCTGAAACTAGCATTACCTTAATACTTGTATTAGTCAGTTCTCCCAATCCTATAAAGAACTACCTGAGGCTGGGTAATTTATAAAGAAAAGAGGTTTAATTGGCTCACAGTTCTTCAGGCCATACAGGAAGCACAGCTAAGGAGGGACTAGTCCACTGTCACATTGCTATAAATAACTACCTGACATTGAGTAATTCATTTTTAAAAAAGTTTAATTAATTCACAGTTCTGAAGGCTGTACAGGAAGCATGGCTAGGGAAGCCTCAGGAAACTTAGAATTATGGCAGAAGGTGAAGGGTAGCAGGCACATCTTACATGACCAGAGGAAAAAGAGAGGAAAGGGGAAGGTGCTACACACTTTTAAACAACCAGTTCTCATGAAAACTCACTCACTATCATAAGAACAGCAGTGAGGAAGTCTGCCCCCATAATCCATGAAACATGATTAAAACATGAAAATGACAAAATTAATAACACAAAGAGCCAGTGCTTTGAAAATATTTTAAAAATTGAGAAAACTCTATCAAACCTAACAAAGAAAGAAGAGAGAAGACACAAATTACTGATATTGGGAATAAAATATGGACATCACTGTAGAAAGTACAGATATTAAAAGGATAATAAGAAATACTACAGACAACTCTACATAAATTTGACAACTTAAAATAAATAAACCAATTTCTCACAAAATATAAACTCAAAATATTTCTCAAAAAAAATAAAACACCTCTCTCCAGGTCCCTCATCCCAACATTAGGAATTACAATTCGACATGAGATTTGGGCAGGGACACAAACCCAAACCATATCAATACCAAAACCAGAGAAACACAGTACAGAAAAATAAAATTACAGGCCAATATTATTCATAAATATAGATACAAAAGTTCTTTAAAATATTAACAAATATGATTCAACAATACATAAAAAGAATTATACACCATAACCAAGTGGGGTTTATTCCTAGAAAGAAAGACTGTCTTAATATTTAAAAATTAATCAATGTAATCCACCGTATTATCATTCTAAATAAGAAAAATCATATGATTGTATCAATCAATGCATAAAAAGCATAAATAACCATTTATAATAGAAACCCCAAAAAAAGGAATAGAAAGAAATTTTCTCAATTCCTCAGCCCAATAATGGGCACATTAAACAACCTATAGCTAACATTATACTCAGTGGAGAAAGACTGAGTGCTTCCCGCCTAAGCCAAAAAAAAAAAAAAAAAAAAAAAAAAACGGTGGGAGTGGGGCAAGCATATTTCCTGGAGGTTCTAGCCAGTGCTACAGCAAGAAAGGGAAATAGAAGAAATAAAGTGCATTTCTGTATTCTAGCAATAAATTCAAAGCCTCAAAGTTAACAATATAATACCATTTATGATTGATCAAAAAATAACATTTCTAATACAAATTAAACTAAACGTATACAAGACTTATATGCCAAAAATAATATAATCAAAGATCTATATAAAAGGAAAGACATACTATATTCATTGATTGGAAGATTCAATATGGTAAGTATGTCATTTCTCCCTAAACTTATATACAGGTTTGATGCAATTTCTCTCAAAATCCCAGTATGATTTTTTAGGTACATATAAGATTACTTTAAAATTTATATGTAATGGCAAATACATTACAATAGCTATACAATTTCCAAAAAGAAGAATACATTGGGAAAAGTTCTACCTGATTTTGATACATATCATAAAGTTACAGTAATTAAGACTATGTGGTGTAGCAGACAGTAGACAAATAGATCAATGAAACAGAATGCAAAAGCAGAAGTAGACCCACATAAATATGCCTGACTAATATCTGACAAGCATGAAAAAGTATTTTAATGAAAGAAAGTTACCCTTTTCAACAAATGGTGTTAGAGTAATTGAATACCCACAGGTAAAAGACAGAATCTCAACCACACGAAAAAAATAAAAATGGATCATAGAGTTTGATGTAAAATGTAAAACTATAAAACTTTTGGAAAAAGAAAAGAAACAGAAGAAAATCTTAAATCTTCAGGATCGAAGGCTAGGCAAAGAGAGAGTTCTTATACTTGACACCATGAGCACCATCCATGAATAGAAAATTCAATAAATTAGACTTCTTTATCAAAATTAAAAACCTGTGATATACCCTGTTGAATGGATAAAAAAACAAGCTGCACAAGTTAAAACTACACAAACTACAAAATCACATACCTGACAAAGAACAAGTATCTAAAATACATAAAGAACTCTCAAAACTCAATGGTAAAGAATCAAAGAACGCAATTAGGATATGAACAAAAAACATGAAGTGATATTTTACCAAAAAAGATACATAGATGACAAATACATACATGAAAAGATTTTTAATATCATTAGACTTTATAAAATTCAAATTAAAACCACAATAAGATACCACCACACATTTATCAAAATGACTAAAATAAAAATAATGACAATATCAACTGATGGCAAGGATGTGAAGAAACTGGATCACTCATAAATTTATGGTGGGAATGTAAAATGGTACAACCACTCTTGAAAATCGTTTGGCAACTTCTTTAAAAAAAACTAAACATGCAACTAGAATAAGGCCAACCAATTGCACTTCTGGGTGTTTATATCAAATAAATGAGAAATTATGTCTCACTAAAACCAGTACACAAATGTTTATAGCAGCTTTATTTAAATATTTATTATAAATATTTATTTATTTATTTATTTTTATTCCAGTTACTGGAAATAACCCAGATATCCTTCAACAGGTGAATGACTAAACAAACTGTGTACATCCAGACCACAAATAATCTCAGCAATAAAAATAAGGAACTATCAATGCACATATCAACCTAGATAAACTTGCACAGAATCATGTGACATGAAACAACAATAAAAGCTAATCCCAAAAGATTACCTACCTACATTAACATTCTTGAAATGACAAAATTGTAAAAATGGGTAACAGAGTAGTGGTTATAAGAGGCTAAGGAGAGAATGGGGGTAGGAGAAAAGTAGGTGTGGTAACACATAAAAGATCCTTGTGTTGATAGGGCCATATAAACATTAATATCCTGGTTGTGATACTGTACTACAGTATTGCAGATGTTACCATCAGGGGAAGCTGAGTGAAGGGTACACAAGATCTTTCTGCATTGTTTCATGTGATTTCACAATTATTTCAAAATAAAGTGTTTAACTTAAGAATATGGAGCTGGAGGCCATTATCTTTAATGAACTAATGCAGGAACAGAAAACCAAATACCGCATGTTCTCACTTATAAGTGGGAGCTAAATGATAAGAACACATGGACGCATAGAGGGGAACAGCACACACTGGGGCCTATCAGAGGATGGAGTGTGGGAAGAGGCAGAGGATTAGGAAAAATAACTAATGGGTACTAGGCTTAATACCTGAGTGATTAAATAATCTGCACAACAAACCCCCATGGCACATATTTACCTATATAAAAAACCTGCACATGTACTCTTAAACTTAAAAGTTTTAAAAAAGAATATATTTAGAAGCCAAAAAAAGAATATGGAAGGAGAATACAGATCAACAGAAATTAGGGTTGCTTTAATAGAGCTTAGTGTAATGCGTCAAGATTATACTAAAAGACCTCTGGTGTTGCAGTCAATCAACACAAAAGTCTATAAGACAATCATTTTATAGACATTCAATTCAGAGAGTTATTTGAAAAATGAGAGAAATTATTTTGTTATTGCATTTGGAACAGTAGAATCTCCATAAATATATGTTGAATGAACATATGCGTATGTTTCATTTTATGAATTTCAATGAACTACACATATTTATAGAAACATTATTTTAAATAATAAATCATATTATAATTTAAATATATTCATATATAATATAAAAAGCAACATATTAAAATTTAATTAAAACCTCAAAATCGTATCCAAATAAAATATGAAATGCTTCCCCATTCTGCATTTAATTTATAAAAGCAATTTTAAGCTATTCCTTACAACTAAAGAAGGAAGAAGGCTAATGGAATCTCTCAGTATGATTCCTAGGTTTGCAGACAAATAAAACTGAGCACAGGCTAATATTCTACCCTCCCCTCAGGCTGAGACACGTTCCATCAATTGGGTATTTGCTATATTTCTTTAGAACTCCACCCCAGACTCAGTGCACTTGAAGAGAAGACTTCTAAAATTTTCGTTGAAAATATTGCAATTGCGATTCTTACCTAGAAGTGTCTTTTCCACCAAATCAAAAGTAGCAAAAATGTAGAGGAACTCTCCTTCTGCTATAGTATTTTGTAAGATTTTACTTCAAGGATTGGAAAGGCAAGAGCAACAGAACTGCCGGCCATTTTGTGTATCTGTCCTTGGAAAAGAGTATTATTCCTTATGAAATTTAGAGTTTGAATAATAATGGAAATCTAAAGATCTAATAATGCATGATATAAGGACTATAGTTAATAATAGTGTATTGTATTCAAGAATTTTGCTAAAAAAGGAGATTTTAGCTGCTCTCACCACGGGGAAAACTGAGTAACTGTGAGATGATGGATATGTTAATTTGATTCACCACAGTAATCCTTTTACTACATGTTTTTCATAACATCATTTGTATACCTTAAATATATACAGTAAAATTTATTTTAAAAATAAATAATATCATGGAGGGAAAAAAAGAATGATGGAAATCTTTGAACAACAAGAGATTACTTATTTCATCAAAATGGCTCCTATGGTCAGACTGTGCCAAGGTTTCTTCCATTTGATTATAGCTACAGAAAAACTGGAAATGGTAGAAATTAAATCAACAGGTGCCTTTTAAATATTCACATAATGCTAGTCACTGTGGAAATGACTGCCTAAGTGTTGCCCAAGAAGAAAGAATGCTAATAGCTAACAGCTAGTAAAAGCCTATTATGTGGCAGGCAGGTGGTAGGCGATTTACATATATTACTGTCTTTAATCTACACAACAACTTTATAAGGTAAATACTATTATAAACCTAGCAAAATTACTTAGATTCTATATGGAGAAAAAGGTCACTAAATTTGATTGTATAAATATGTACTAAAAATCAACTATGTGTCATGAGTAGGCGCTTTATGCAATTTTTTAATCGCTTAATACATATCAATTTGTTGTGAAGATTATTGCCTTTGTTTTTTAGATAAGGAAATTGAGCCTTGGAGGTTAAATTATTTGCCCAACCGGTAGAGGTGAGGTTTGAATCACGACAAGCTTACTCCAGAACCAGAGCACTTAGCCTGACACTACACTGTCTTCTCCCTCATCTACCACCTCATCACATTTCCTTAGTACACAGAGGGGCTTTCTGGGCATTTGGCAGCACCCCAAAGCCTAAAACTCTCTAACTCTGCTCCTTTAGGATTTTGATCCTAAATTAAATATCAGCTTAGATAAAAACGAAAAGAATTGTGGCTTCTTTGAGGCATCATTCAATCCGTGTAAGCTGCTAAAGAAGCCCATTGGCTTATAAAGAAGCCCTGTGGCAGCCATGAAAATGTGCAGGTCAGCTCTCTTGCGCAGGGAGCGGAGGTAACTGACAGCCCAAGTTGCTATCTTTCTGGATCTATCAGAGCAATTATATAACTTACCCAAAGTCAAAAAGACAGTAAGCAATAAAACAGTCTGACTGCAGTTCAAGGTTAAAGTTAGCATGAGGCAAGGGAGACAATTCTGGTAAAATACTTAATAAGACATTCATTCTCAAGTTTGTGCAGGTGTTGATTCTGCAAGAATTGATCTTGCACTTGTACAACCCTGAGAATAAGCACCTCCTTAAATCTGCATCCCAGGCCCCTCTTTGCCTTATCCTAGTCCTGGCCCTGTCGTGATTAATACTTCAGAAAGAATCAAACTTTCAATGATGATTGTAGACCCTCTCCTTGCAGAGTCTCCACGCTGAATATGTCTATGCACACATATAGCTTAAAGGGAGCACTACCTCTCATTTTAATCTTCAAGCTAATCTACTCGTTCCCTGTTTTCACTTGGGAATATGTGTATAAACAAAATATGGAAGCCTTATCAGTACCATTTGTCAAAACTTCAATACACCCTGTGACACCTGAACTTCCTCCAAATCCTCTCCATCTCCTTTCCTTCTCCTTCCTCCATTTTGTTCTTTTCTGTAACTTTGATGGTGATTAGTTCATGTCTCCCGCCAACTCAAAGTCTGGCTAGGTCAAAATAACAATCTTTCCTTTCTTCCTTATTGTTATTAGGAATCAAAGGAAGGGAGATGCAGCATTCCTTTTCTGTTATGAACTTGTCTGTTGTTGAAATAAATTAACTTCATTCTCCTTGATGTTTTTAAAGAATCTGAGTCAGTGGCACCCCACAGCCCACATACCTTAATCACATATTTTATTATACTTCTAAATACATAATTATCTGCAGACCTGGTTACTGATGTAACAGTTATATAACCTTCTGGTTTTTTAATTGGTTGCCTGAAACTGAGATTACAAAGGTAGAGACGGAAACTAATGTCTCAACAAAATGGCTCATGAAAGGAGGGTTTACTTAGGTACAATGATGTTCACTGGGAAATTTAAGGTTCATGAACCCACCCTTTCATTTCTTGCACCCCCAGTTTAATACCAAGTATCTTCAGTTAGATACTTCTATTATTAATGTTTTTTTCCCTTTTGGAAATTGCAATTCTGAAAGGCTTACAGTAATTTTTTATGGTCTAGAAGTTCCACTCAATGATATAACATCATAGCCTAATATTTAGCATAGAATATGGAAAAACACCAGAGGGGATAATTAAGTTCACCAAACTGGATTTCTTCATGAGCCAATGATAAAATGAAGACTCTTATTAAACTTATATAACAAAAGTTCCAGTCTCTAACTCTAATTACTTGAGCTTGTTGGTTCCTCCTGGTCATTTTTTGTTCTTATAAAGGAAACAGCATGGAGTTGGTATATTGTAAAAAATAAAATTTTAAATAACAGAGGTAAAGTAATAGCCTTAATTTATATTTGCATCTTGCCCAACCAATCATGCAGCCTCACTAACATGATCAATGGGCAACAAGAACATTTATATATAATTAATTCTAAAAAATCAATTACATCATCATGAATTTTTAAATTTATCTCAGAATATAATCTCCAAAGACTTTAATCTCAATGGCATAATTATTTATTTGGAATTACTTTTGATCTTCTAAATAAGGCCAATTATTTTTTCCCATCAGGAAGGCCATCCAAAGTTTGAGCAGGCATAATTTAAATTCCTTTCACAGTTGTATTTTAAATGTTTATTATTGAATTTATTTATTGCAAATTTACAGTGGTGTTTGCCAAGAGATTTTTTTACTTTTTTTATATCCGCAATAATTTTTGTCCATTTTCAAAGTGCCAGGCCTGAAAGTGGACACATCACACCTGCCTTTTTATTTTATTTTCTCTTTATTTTTAACACTAACTTTTCCTCTTCATTTCCTACTGGCTCCACTGGGATCCCTAAAACACAATTTACAGTTGCTGCAAACCCATAGCTTTGCCTTCCAATCACTACTGGTTGCTGCTTTGGGATTCACAACCTATGCCTCTTCCTTAAAAATGTTAAAAATATCTTATGAGATGTGATGTGTTTCCACAGAGACTCAGTAGTATAAATCATTTTGTATCTATCCCAAGTCATTACGGAACTCTTAGGAAAGAGGCTATAATTTTACTAGACTCTAGTGTTTTTGTATATACAGTTTACGAGAAGGTAGAAAGTGACAATAATGATATCAGCTTCCAGAGATAGCTAGAGACCGTGTAGAGGAGTTTGACAGGAACATTAAGGATCCAGAAACTTTGTCATTTGAAACAAAACAAAACAAAATTCATATATAGCACAAAGGTTAAAAGGGCTTTTTTATCCTAAATAACTTGAAGATAATATTTATATCAATCTTCCTAAGTACCTTATATTCTCAGTGCCTTGTATATGTAACTATTCATTCAGCAAATATTTTCTGAGCAGCCACAAGTCTCAGAAATGGCAGAGGTCAAATACCTCATTTCCAATGCCTTGAGGAAAATGGTCTGTGATTCTGTCATTCAACCTTTATCATCTTGATCTAATAAATGCTTTTGTTTCTTTAAATTTTTCTCAGCTTGGCATTTTTTTTTCATGTATCAGCTGTTAATTATATGAACTCTAAACTTTTAGCCTAGTGCTAAGCTTCCTGGAATGCTCTTCCTTCAGTGAGAAATGCTTCTAGAAGAACTGAGACTGAGAAGAGAAAGATAGACTGTTTGCTCTCTTCCTGGAAAATCCTAGTAGGTGATCCCTCCAATATGTAAGGATTAGGTCAAGGAAGAGTATCTTTTATGTACTACCATATATCTAGCACCACACTGAGACTTATGGGGATTCTAAGAGAAATGCATTCAAAGAGAAATGCATTCCTGTGAAACATATAAATTATTTAGGAAATGGTAGTAAGTATTATAAGAGAATAAAGAATTTAGCTTTAGACAAAATAGTGATTTTGTCTGCTCTAAAGGTTAGAGAAGTTAGTCTTTAGAGATGATGTTCCAGCTATATTTTAAGAGTAGATAAAATTTGGAAAATTGGAATGCGTGGAGCTCTAAAAGAGAGATAGTTGTGGTTTTCAAGGCACTGGGGAATAATTAGATGTTATGATTTAGCTGAGGTTGGATCTAGGTTTCACAGTTTGGAGCTGAGGAAAGTCAGATTCAATGTATGGACAAACTCCTCATTCTCCTTCTTAGGAAAGATCAAGGTCTATTCTAGATGATCCATGTTGTCCTCTAACTTTGCCATGGCTCTGTCAGTAAGCTCTGCTCTGGTCATGACCTCCATGGAAGAAGATAAATAGAAGAAGTACAAACTGCTGGGAAACTAGCCAGAGAAATCTACCAGAGACGTGAGGACCTCATTTCTAGTTTGAATTGTTTTTTCAGCCTCCAGGATCTAGCTTTCCAACCACCTCTGTATTTCTATTCTGAATCTTGACAACATTTTTGCCCTCTTTGGCTGATACCAACATTTTAATTACAAGCCATGAGTCCTTAACACTATGCTAGGCAATATCCAAATACTATGCTAGGCAATCTCCAAATATCCAGTGTACATGACATTGACAGTTTCTATACTTCTAGAGTTTTTTCTGAAGAGAGATTTAAAAAAAAAAAAAGCAAACAAACACAAGTCATATACAAAAGTGATATAGACAGACAGATAGACATTCCAAAATTGTAGAGAATCTGAGACCAAAAATGGACAATCAAGAGAAAAATGCAAAAAGCTGAATCTGTTCACTGAAGCCATTAATCAGGATGTTTATTTGTGTGTAAAAAATTTTCTTCTATAAAAGAAACAGGCTGGATGATAAAGCTATGAGTGAAGAGGCTTAAAGCATCACATGGATTTTTCCCTCCTTTTTTCTGGCACTTAATAGCTGAAATCTTTTCACGGAGCACACATTTCAACAGCTATGCAAACAAAGTCAAAGCAATATGTCTAATTGAATCTTCAATATTCAAGTCAATTTGTGAAATATCTTACAATTGCCTTTCAATTTGTACCCCAAGTCTTGTCTGAAGGTGATAATGGTGACGAATGCTATTGCAAGAGGCAGGCAGTTGTCACAATTTAAAAGCCTTTCATTCCTGACATAGTCTAACACAAGACAAAAATGAGCTTGCCCTTTAAAGGCTGTGACCATTTTCCTCTCAAGTTGCTCTCTTATTATACAAATGAATCACTCTCCAGTGATTATGCTGAAATGAGCAAAGCAAAAAATCTTCAGCTCTCACATTCCACAGAAATCTGAACTCATCCTAGGAACTGCTGGCTTGACTTCTCACAGAGAAATAAGAAGGTCAAAACAGAAGAATTGTTCGGCAACTAAATTTAACAATAGGAACGGCTCTCAGTGCTTCCAATGTCTCAGGGGATATTTCTGAACACTCCACTCAACACTTTAGAACTTTGCATTATCAAACCTAAAGATCTACACCCTTACTGAGACCTCTTCATCCTATTCCAGACTGTGGAGGAGAATTACACAGCTTAATAAATTGATGTCTTGTAGCTGTTTATTTATTGACTCTGAGCAAGATTGCTGGTTAGGTTTCATCCCAAGTACTGAACCAATGATATAACCTAGTGGCTACCTGTTCTGTATTCAATAGAATAGAGAACAGTGCATACAGTACATATAGAATACTTAGAATGTCTGATTTGGAACTAGAATAGATAATAACAGAAGCCATACTCTAAAGTGTGAGAGATTCAGCAATTCAATCTACCCAATATAAAGGCAATACAGCATACGACATAGAAATCTAGGTTATGAAACCAAAATCCTTAGGTTCTTACTACATTTTACATAATTATTCCAAACCTCTCTTTCCTCAGTTGTGACTGAGGATACTTACATTTATCTTCCAGGGTTGTTGCAGATCCCATTAGATAAGGCAGCATAAAGCACTTGGTATGATACCTGGATGATACCTGCCAGTATATTTATAGTTGTTCCCTTTCTTCACTATTAACATCTTTAAAATTTTACAGTTCAGTTTTTCATTGCAAATAAACTATTTCAGCTGTCTTCCTCATCATTGTTGTCATCATTATCATCATTTAAATTTACATTTTCCAAAGCATTTTACATTTATTATCTCATCAAACATTTACTGCTTCAACACCTCTAATAACAGAAACAGCTCTTGTATTATCATCCATAGATCGACAGCTTAGGTCACAAAATAGTTCTTCCTTATGTTAAACAGATACCTATCATCCTGTAAGTTTCATTCATTAGTCCTTGGTCTCTCTTGCTTGAGCATTTTTAAACATCTCATGCCTTAATAGCTCCTTTGAAATCTAAAGGTTATTTTTGCTACTTTCTTCAAGTCTTCTCTGAGAAGTTATATACAATCTTATATAAAATTCTATGACTCTTGTCATGCAGACTCCCAGGCATTACCTCTAGACTCAGAAATCTGAATTTTTGCTCACAACCCTAGAATCTTGACATAGGTCATCCAAAGATGCACAATGAAAGGACTAGTGAGAGGAGTTAGTGAGCTTGTTTTAGGTAGACAGCAAGGGAAGGGTCCCTGGAAAGCCCTTGACCCATGGGCTGGTGCCTCAGCCCCACATAACACAAAAAACAGTCTGGAGTAAAAATCAAGCTGCAGGCACCAATAAGGGAACTAGCACAGGGGCTTGTGCCTAGAGACATGCCCGCAGCTGCACAGATAGGAGAACCTCCAGCCCACTCAGATAAAAACATGCACAAACTGCTGGCTCACTCAGATAAGGGAACAGGCCTGACATAGAAATGTCTTTGGTCTTTGTCTTTTGTATAATCAGCAGGCTCCTAGGAAAATGTTTTGTCTCCTTTTGTGGGCATGAACACAGAGGGCTCCAGTGGGCACTTTCCTTTTTTTTTTTTTTTGGACTGGGAGCCTGGCCTCTATGAATCATCACTTAAGCTCCTGAATGGTCCTGGGCCAAGGTCTTAGGCCAAGCTGTGTAGCCCCTATTAATCATCACTTCACATCCTGATTGGTCCCGGGGCCAAGCTGAATCACATTTTATCCAAGACAGCCCTCAAACTAAGCACATTCCTTCCCCTTCCCAGTCCGTAAAAACCCCAGACCCCAGCCTCATAGTAGGCAACCCATTTGGGCCCACTCTCCACTAGTGGAGAGCTTTCTTTTTTGCTTATTGAACTTTTGCTCCAAACTCACCCTTGTGTCCATGCTCCTTAATCATCTTGGACGTGAGACAAAGAACTCCTAGCATTATCTCAGACAATGAGAGACTGTTACATCTTGGATCATTAGTGAGACCACCACACTTTTGTTGAATATCCACAGTTTACTTCTGCAGGTACCCTCTCCCCACTTCTCCCTCTGCTCTGTGTTTTCCTAGGCTGAATACGGACTATATCCTTGACTCTTAGGCTACTTTTTAGATTCATATGACTGGAAGCACAGGCAGGAGATCAGAGAAAAAGAGTTGGATGGGCTCTGACCAAAGGGCAGCTCCTCTCAGGGGCCCAGGTTCTAGTAAGCACTTCAGGTTTCCAGCAATCACTTCTTTCCACTGAACCTTCAAACCTCTGAATGAAAAAAAGTCCTGGTTCTTGCTAGTCCGAGGGAGTGGCACTATCCCCAGTGATTTCCCTATACCTTGCCCCACTTTTGTAAATGGTAGATTTATGAAACTCTCCCTAACAGTACCCAGTTAGATTGTGCTAGTCTTTTTATGTTAGGTTCCTGGCTGATGTGCTGGTTTAGAAAAAGCTGGTTCAAATCCCCCTTCTCCACTTGTTAAGCAGTATAGCCTTAGGGAAGTTATGCCCCAGAAGACTCAGTTTCCCTGCTTTGTAATGGGATAATAAGAATGCCTCCCTTGGCCAGGCTCAATGACTCATGCCTGTAATTCCAGCACTTTGGGAGGCCGAGGCAGGCAAATCACTTGAGGTCAGGAGTTTGAGACCAGCCTGGCCAACATGGTGAAACCCCGTCTCTACTAAAAATACAAAAATTGCCTGGGATTGGTAGTGGGCACCTCTAATCCTAGCTACTCAGGAGGCTGAGGCAGGAGAATCACTTCAACCCAGGAGGCAGAGGTTGCAGTGAGCTGAGATCATGCCACTGCACTCCATCCTGGGTGACAGAGTGAGGCTCCGTCTCAAAAAGAAAAAAAAGAAAAAGAATACCTGCCTTCTGGAGGAGTTACAAGAATTAAATACATTTTTATATGAATTACTTACCTAAGAGCCTGGTACCTAGTAAACATTTGATGAAATTTAGCTAAAATTAAATTATAATTAAAAGTCATTTTTCCAGCTTAAATCAAAAACCACTTAAACTTTAAACCCAGAGATGCGAAAGGAGAATTTATTTACAAAAATTTAAAAAAAAACTGTAATATATCAAAGGGAAAGAAAAATATAGCTTTAAAATAAATATTTTAAATAATATTTCAATCAAATAAATTAAACATATTTCTCACTTCTACCTCAAAAAATTTCTGAAGCTACAAAAATCTTTTCAAAATAAGTATCTGATAAGAATTTAGGAACACTTTTCATTAAGGGGAGTTAGGATTCTAAATTAGAAATATAACAAGCTTTAGCTGATGTTTTAAAAAGTCCATTAAGGTAAGAAGATCCTCGATACTAGTCATATTCACTGATTTAGTTTGATGAAAGTCAAAGCTAAAAAATGTGGGAAAAAAAATAAGGATTAGACCAAATCCTATATAATCTTTCCAGTAGGATTACTTACATCTGAGGGTTTTCTCTCATCTTAAGATAGCACCTTGAAAATACTGGGCTTACTGGGAACAAGAAGATAACATGAATCTTTTCAAATTTATTTAATATTTTTAAAAAAACCCACATTGGCTACATGGGAAAAAGGCTTATTCTGAGAATAAAGCCTGGGGCAACACTCCTATCCACATTCATTATAGTGTGTGCCAGCACCATATCATTACTTCAGGTTCAAAGCAAAATCAATAGCAAATCATTTGACTTTGTAATAGCAGAAACGCAAGACGCCACCAACTTCATCAAAGAAGGCTGTCTTAGAAAAGGTAGCTACATGCACCACGTGAAAATACTGTGAATGCTTTCAGCATCAATTGCCTAAAATCTAGCTTTTTTATGTGACTGCTTATGTGAATATAGTATATATTTTTATTATTTCAGGACTGCCTTGATATGAATCCTAATATTTGACAAATTACCTCTCTTGGAGACGATGTTAGTTTCTGCATTTATAAACTTGTCAAAAGCCAAAGGAAAAGTAACAACCACCAGCCAAACAAGGAGATATTTATTTCTCATAACTGAAAAAGGGATTTATTTGCAGAAATCTCACACATATGAACAGAGATGGGCCCCAGCTTCTGGTGGCTTCAAAAAAGTATTAGCAATAAGCCTTATGCTCCCTATTTTAATACTTTCTATATATACATACAGTCAGTTCACTCATGTGACTCAATTCTCATTCTATTAATAGTTGGACAAAAAGGAGAGGTTAGCTATTGGCTGAGCTGACATCTGCACAGCCTTGTTTGGATTTATAAGTGGGCAATCCAGTTAACATAAAAAAACAGAGAGTTCTTGGGGGCAACAATAGATAAGCCTCCTCACACTTGCCGAGATATTCCCACACTATCTCTTCTGATGAGAACCAGAACCACTTCCCAAATGACAAAGGCAGGGTGGACCTCCTACCTTAGGCTTAAGACTAGGAGGGAGTGTGTATTTGTGTGGGAGAAATCTTTGGATAGCTTATGTATTTTATAAAACGATAAATTATTTAAACTTCAAGAAACTGGAGGCAACGTGTAATTTAATCTTTAAGATGAGGATACTGAGGTCCATGGAAATACAAGACCTACTAAAAGGCTTATATTTGTTTACAAACTATAATTAAAGCATCTGATTAATCTAATTCACGTATTTGTCTTTATTTCAGTTGCTCTCTTACCCTCTGATTAAAATTTTTCTTTTCATATGCTAAGGCATTTTCTTTCTATAATGACTTAGAATACACTGATTATCTTTGTGTGCCAGAGTAGATTAATAAATATGCATTATGGTTTTAGAACATAAACAAATTACCAAATAAGACATTGGGTTAATAATTTATTCCTGAAAAAATCATCATAAATCAAGCTATGGACGTTGAGGACAACATACATAACAAATTTTTGCCTATTGACTTAAGAAATGAAGTGGTGACTATACTCATTTGCTAAGTCTGCTAGCCAACACACAGGTTTTGAACATTCAGTTTGTTGACTTGTTCGTTTTATTCCAGCAATTGTTGTTGAAACTTCTGTCCTCAGGGTTAAGATGAGAGAGTATAAAACTAGGGTTCTACACAATGAGCTCCTGGTCTGCGGAGCTTCCGGACGTGATTTGCTGATAAAGGCTTCACTTCAGAGATGAAGAAGCAGCAGCCAGAGGAAGAAAGTAAAAGCAGCTATATAAGGAAAGGTGGGTTTTTATTTGTTTGTTTGTTTATGTTTGGGAGACATTAAAAAATCATTTAATTGTCACTAATGCTCATGCAAATAACATTGTTTTTCCAGTATTTGTAAGGATTTTTCAGTTCTTGATCTTTCCTACTATGGAAGAATTTCACTATTCTTGAAATGCTATTAATAAAAAGTTGAAAAATAATAAGTATAACACTAATACTTATTAAATAACTACTCTGAGGTCCCCACATGTGTTCAAGTATTTAGTCCTCGCCATAGCCCTAACAGTGAGTCACGAGTTATTACCATTGCCCTTCCAAAGACAAGAAACCTGAAGCACACAGTGCTGGAGTAACTTTCCTTAAGCCACCTGCTAGGTTGGGGAACAACCAGGATAGGAACATAAATGTTCTCTCTCCAAGTCTACTTACATCATACTGCCTTTTAATGTTCTTTATGTTAGTAAAGTGTTAAGAGCTTGGGCATGGAGTCAAGCACAGGGGTTCAAATTCCATTGCTTCTTAAAAGTATAACCTTCAGCGGGTTACTTCCACTGTTTAATCATCACACAACCACCCATTTGCATAAATTGAGCTGTGTTCCTTCTGGTTTGAATTGTTCTTTTTGTTATTGTTGTTTCCATTGTGCCACAGTACTTTTGGAGAATTAACCCTTCTCACCTTCATTTTCATTTTCATTTTCATAAAAATATTTTTGCAATGATTTATATAACCACGTCTTGTTTGATCAGTTGACTAGACTCAGTGAAACATTTATGTAAGTGAGAAACGTAGATTTGACTGTGTCAATACTGTCAGCCTTGCCACCCAAAAAGAGACAAATGTGATAAGAGAAATAGTGGATAAATTACATGACATTTTCTAACAAAATCCTTTATATGGATGCTCTGAGTTTTTACCTAATACAAAAGGATTCGAATACCTTTTGGCAGTTGGATTAAGAGACAGTTTCTTGGATTGGGGATCTAAAGATTAAGCTTTACCAGGGGTAACAATAGCTTTATTCAAATAGTAGTCTCGGCTTCTGGTGATGGGGTGAGAATATAATAAGTAAATTTTACAGAAGTGAATAGATTGGTTTTCCTTTTAGGAAAAGGTGTCAAATACTTGTCAAAGGGCAAGGAAGATTACTGGTTATTCTCTCAGAGGGGTGGGGCCCCCCTGGGGGATTAGCTGATTCTGTAGGGTAAACACCTTTGATTATCTTTCTTATTGACTCATCTATAATATGTAGCTCTATAGTGAGTAGAAGTTTAGTTGAAGAAAACAATATCATATAAATGATTACTGTCTATAACAATAAAAATGAGCATAGTCCTGAAACAATATAAATGATTATCCAATCTGTAGAAAAAATGATGCCAAACATTGTATTTTATTACCTTATGGGATTTTAGCCAGTCTTTCATCTATTATTACATTTATTTTAGCATCCCTGATTGCCTGATAATACTTTTGTCTTTCAGATTAACCTTTAAGCCTAATTTTAGCATCTTACTGGTTCTCCCATTAATTAATGTATCATAATCTGTGACAGATTATCATTTTATATTTGTTTGAGTCATGACTTAACCTCCTTGTAAATTATACTTTAGAATTGTATACAATGGTTTTAAATGTGTTTGGTTATTTTTGAGTAACATTTATTTATCCAACAGGTATTTATTGAGTGCTAACTTTGTCCCAGAAAGTGTACAAGACACTGGGGATTCAATCGTGAAGAAGACAGAAAATATCCTACCCTTAATGGATGTCATAGTCCAGTGCAGATGACAGGCACTGAAATTAAATATATATTTATTTTATATTTTATTTTAATTAAATATGTGTTTAATATTTTAATCAAACATATATAGTATACACACATACATATAGTATACACACACATACACACACATATATAATATTCTGGTACATGTCAGAAAGGAAACAGATACTGACTTTTGAGAGCAAATCATAGAAGAATAGGACCTGATAAGGCAATTCTGCAAGATGTTCTTACAGTTTGGGCTAATATCTTGAAAACAGTTACTAGATCATCATGAGTTAAAGGTGAGTGTGGGGAAGAGTCTTTCCACATAAAGGAATTAACACACAAAAAGGCTTAGAGATAGGAAAGGCAAATCACTATTGAGCAGAAAGCCAAGAGTAATGTGGTGCCACTTGCAGAAAGGCCATGCAAGCCCTTGGGTCTATAAATATTATGGTCAGAAAAATACAAATTGTATGTATGTAGTTAAGATTCCATAGTAGATTCCCATTGCTACAATTAAAAAAAAAAATTCTAGAAATACACCGAGGATGGAATGGAGGGAGAGCAGCACAGATGGGATAATGTGCTCTTGTCTGGTTTTATTTAGTAGAAATAATGAGTTTAACTTCATGTAGCATTAGTCAAAGATGCTTTAAAACTTCCAAGTGGGCATTGATGTAGGGAGCCATAGCTATATACAAAGTCCAGTGTGTTAGAATGAGCTGAGGAGAGAACTGGATATAAGGAAAAGGAGGAACCAAGTATAGACACACTCAGGATGCCTGCCAACCTCAAGATCAAACCTAGGAATCCTATATGTAGGAAATTAAGGTGAAGTTGAAACTATTCATTATTACAGGAAGGACACACTCAGGATCCCTGCCAACCTCAAGATCAAACCTAGGAATCCTATATGTAGGAAATTAAGGTGAACTTGAAACTATTCATTATTACAGGAAGAACCAGGCAGAGAGAGAGCTCAGTAGCAGGCAAGCCTCGTAGTATTAGAATTACACTGTGGGACAGGGGACATAATCAAGAAGCATGGACACTGGGCCCACGACCAGGACACTGCAAGAACAGAAATTAGACAACTCAGTTCAAGATGACGGGGAATTTTCTGTTGATACAAAATTAGTTGTGGCTTTACTCAATTTGAAGGAATGAGAATTATTCAATCCTCTAGCTTCTCACAGTACCGAATTAGACCAGATTACGGCTTCAAAAAGTTACTTGGTCGAGGTAATGTTATACAAGCTCCTTGTAGATGTGTTATGATGTTGCAGGAAGTCAGGAACCCCGAACGGAGGGACCGGCTGAAGCCATGGCAGAAGAACATAAATTGTGAAGATTTCATGGACATTTATTAGTTCCCCAAATTAATACTTTTATAATTTATTATGCCTGTCTTTACTGCAATCTCTGAACATAAATCGTGAAGATTTCATGGACACTTATCACTTCCCCAATCAATACCCTTGTGATTTCCTATGCCTGTCTTTACTTTAATCTCTTAATCCCATCATCTTCGTAAGCTGAGGAGGACGTATGTCGCCTCAGGACCCTGTGATGATTGCATTAACTGCACAAATTGTTTGTAGAGCATGTGTGTTTGAACAATATGAAATCTGGGCACCTTGAAAAAAGAACAGGATAACAGCAATGTTCAGAGAACAAGAGAGATAACCTTAAACTCTGACCACTGGTGAGCCGGGCAGAACAGAAACATACCTCTCTTCTTTCAAAAGCAAATGGGAGAAATATCGCTGAATTCTTTTTCTCAGCAAGGAACATCCCTGAGAAAGATGTATTCAACCTCAAAAAGTTCAAATTAGGAGAAATTCTTTGAAAACTTTAAATGACTTCCAAAACTTTTGGGTAACATTAATTATTTAAGACCTACAGACAAACTTATCTCTACCTCTTATACCTCTGCTCAAAAGGCAGAGTTAATTGCTGTAATTACTGCCTTACAGGATTTTCCCAAACCTTTAAATATTGTCTCTCATTCTATTTAACATGGAAAAGAGGATATGCTTGTGTTTCACCAGATCATCAAAAGAAAACCACAGAGAAAAGATGTCTATGTCAGAGACTGCCCTCAGACGTGGTAAAATCTGTGCCAACTCCTCAGAAGCAGGCACACCAAATCACAATGGGTCTGATCAATCCTCCCTGATGGCAATGGAGACCCATCTAACTAATCCCACTTCTCCCGATTACCTTTCTCTTTCTCCTTACAAACCTAAAAAATCTGACCATTTCTATTAGCCTGAAAATAACATCCCTCTGTTCTCTTTCTCCTTCAACACTCAATCTCGCTTACAATAGGTTTTATTTAATGATTCTCCTCCTTATACTTTCTGTCTCACCAGTTTCCTCTTACACTGATTTACCTGCTACACATAATTATTCTTACTGGGCTTATGTGCCTTTTCCTCCACTTATTCGACCTCTCACCTGGATTGATGCTCCTGCAGAAATCTACACTAACAAAAGTGTGTGGATGCCTAGAGCTACAGATGACTGTTGCATGAAGAAGGCACTGCATTTAATGTTACCATGGGTTATAAATACCCCCCTCTGTGCCTCGGACATGCACCTGGTTATATCCATCTAGAAACTCAAGTCTGGGCTGCTTATCCTCTGGAAAGATCAGCTACAGATAAACTGGGACATTTGGTCTCTGACCTCTCCCTTTCTCCTTTAAAACAAATGAAAGGGGGAGTAATGGGAGATACCCCATACTTTTAATATAAACCTGCAGGAAAACCATGCCCTAAAAATTTTGAGGGCCCATCTAAAACTTTAATTTGGGAAGATTGTGTTAACTCACATGCAGTAATATTTAAAAATGACTCATATGGTTTAGTAATAGACTGGGCACCAAAGGGCTATTTAAAAAACAATTGCTCCTCTGGTGGAAGGGAATGTCTGGAGGCTACTTATTTTATTTCTTATTGGGAGAATGAGAATCATCATTCTATGTTGCATAGAAGGTTCAGCTCATTCTTTCCCTTAAAATGGGAAGATAAAGGCATTACTACCCCCTACCCCAGGCCTCGTATGATACTCCCCATTCTGAGCCCAGAACACCCAGGACTTTGGAAATTGGCTATTGCCATGTCTGGACTGCGAGTATGGGAAGGGGAAACTATTCTGTCTATTGTCCCCTCTACCGTCCCCCTCTCTCAGTATCAACGTAGATCCAGATATTCTGTTTTACTTAAATCCAACCTGTTTCCATACAGAGTTGTGTTAAGCCTCCTTACATGCTGTTAGTGGGAAATATCAAAATTTGGACAAACAATCAAACTGCCCAATGCATTAATTGTCATTTATACACTTGTATTAACTCCTATTTTGACTCCAGGAAATGTGTAATGTTGGTTCAAGCTTGAGAAGGAATCTGGATTCTGATAACTTTGCCCAGACCTTGGGAATCATCCCATTCAATACATTTATTAAATGAAGTGTTACAGCAAATTCTAAAAAGATCTAAGAGATTTGTTTTCACTTTAATCGCTGTTACCATGGGCCTAATTACAGTCACTGCAATGGCCACCACTGCCGGAATGGCATTACACCAATCCATTCAAATGTCTCATTTTGTTAATGATTGGCAAGCCAATTCCACCCAAACGTGGAATTCTCAACAAGGCATCGATCAAAAATTGACAAATCAAATTAATGATTTAAGACAGTCTGTTATTTGGCTTGGAGATTCGGTGGGGAGTCTGGAACATCGCATGCAAATGGAGTGCAACTGGAATACTTCAGATTTCTGTATCACCCCATATTCCTATAACGAGACTGATCATTCATGGGAAATGGTCAAATGACACCTTCTGGGTAGGGAAGATAATTTATCACTGGACATAACTAACTTAAAGAAACAAATTTTTGAAGCCTCTCAAGCTCACTTATCCATTGTGCCTGGAGCTGAGGTGTTAGATCAGGTGGCAGAAAATCTTTATGGATTAAACCCCACGACTTGAATTAAGTCTATTGGGGCTCCACTGTAGTAAATTTTGGAATTACGTTTCTCTGTTTAATCGGTTTGTTTTTAGTGTGCCAGACCAGTCAAAGAATCCTGCATCAAAATCGAGAGAACGAACAAACCTTCATCGCCATGGCACATTTATATAAAAAAAAAGGGAGAGATGTTTTGGGAAGTGAGGAACCCCAAACAGAGGGACCGGCTGAAGCCATGGCAGAAGAACATAAATTGTGAAGATTTCATGGACATTTATTAGTTCCCCAAATTAATACTTTTATAATTTCTTACACCTGTCTTTACTGGAGTCTCTGAACATAAATTGTGAAGATTTCATGGACACTTATCACTTCCCCAATCAATACCCTTGTGATTTCCTATGCCTGTCTTTACTTTAATCTCTTAATCCCATCATCTTCGTAAGCTGAGGAGGACGTATGTCGCCTCAGGACCCTGTGATGATTGCGTTAACTGCATAAATTGTTTGTAGAGCATGTGTGTTTGAACAATATGAAATCTGGGCACCTTGAAAAAAGAACAGGATAACAGCAACCTTCAGGGAACAAGAGAGATAACCTTAAACTCTGACCACTGGTGAGTCGGGCAGAACAGAGCCATATTTCTCTTCTTTCAAAAGCAAATGGGAGAAATATCGCTGAATTCTTTTTCTTGGCAAGGAACATCCCTGAGAAAGAGAATGCGTCCCTGAGGGTAGGCCTCTAAAATGGCCACTTCGGGGGTGGCTGTCTTTTATAATCAAAGCTGTAGGGATGAAATAAGCCCCAGTCTCCCGTAGCGCTCCCAGGCTTATCAGGATGAGAAAATTCCCGCCTAATAAATTTTGGTCAGTCCGGTTGTCTGCTCTCAAACCCTGTCTCCCGATAAGATGTTATCAATGACAATGCATGCCCAAAACTTCATTAGCAATTTTAATTTTGCCCCAGTGCTATGGTCCTGTGATCTCGCCCTGCCTCCATTTGCCTTGTGATATTCTATTACCTTGTGAAGCACGTGATCTCTGTGACCCACACCCCATTCATACACTCCCTCCCCTTTTGAAAATCACTAATAAAAACTTGCTGTTTTATGGCTCGCGGGGCATCATGGAACCTGCTGACATGTGATATCTCCCCCAGACACCCGACTTTAAAATTTCTCTCTTTTATACTCTTTCCCTCCATTTCTCAGACGAGCTGACACTTAGGGAAAATAGAAAATAACCTACGGGAAATATCAGGTGTGAATTTTGCCCGATATCTGGCTGAATTTCCCCCGATATCATACATGATTTTAATATAATAAGCTTGACCTTGGCCACTATAGACATATATATATTTCTGGATACTGTTGCTTATAAAAAGGCTTTGAGTAGCAATTGGCCTTGTTCACCAAACTAATAATGTAATGACAACATGCTCTGTTTTGAGAGGATATCTTGAGTTGAATTTTTTTTCAGTTTCTTCTTCAGATAAATAATATATGTCTCTCATCCCAAAGAATAATGAGAACTACTGAATCCAGATTGCTTCATCTCTCATAAAAGAAGTTTAGAAAAAAAGCCAAGTACAGTTATGGTTATTAACTTGTATTAAGTGCTTTGTAAAATAATATAGTAATAATAAAATATATCAATAATGATAATGACAGTTCTTAGTCTAATACTCCTGATTACCACATATGTGATAGATAAGTTTAGTCTTAATTTTATTTTTATTTACCTCCATATTTATTCTATCAGTTCTGTTCATAACATGATTTTGCTATTTTATCAGCTTGTTTATGGCCTGCCTTCCATGTGTCAGGCACTGACTTAAGTACTGAGAATTAAGAAAAACAAAAAAAAAGAATAATTATGGTTCCTGATTGTAAGCATTTTTTAAATTTAAAACTAGAGTTCTAGCTACTGAAAATCCTTCTGGAAATAGGTGAAATAAAAATATTTTGAAATAATTCGTTTCTTAGAATATACCATCCAGAAATTTCTAGGCTTGTAAGAATTTCTGTAAGAATTCCAGACTCTTCTTCCCAAATATGGGCCAACTTATAAAAAATTATCCAAATAATTCAAATAAGGAGTAGAGGTAGAAGAGAATGGATTGGGTGTTTCTTAAGCAATGTGTAGGACATATTTAAACCTTCTAAGAAAAGCCTTTCATGCAGACATTATCTGTACAAAGGTGAGAAAAGAGATTCAGAAAGGGTATTAATTGCCAAAGTCCATGCAACTTGTTAATGCAAGAGCTAAAATAGGAGTCATTTCTCTTCAAAGTCCATTTCCTTTCTCCTACACCACATGGTTTTATGTTGGTATGAAAAATTTTTTTTAGGATTCCTTTGAGGAAGACAATATGGAATCAACATTTTCGTAAAAAGTGCCCAGACACCTGTAAAAAGTGACTTAATCTTCTGTGTCACCTTTCAGTTATAGCTTTTGTGATATTGCCTGAAGCTTCTGACCAAATAGTAGAAGAGCTCTTAAAACCAATCATGTTACAAGAAAAAATGCCTGTTTTAGAAAACTGATCAGATAATCCCTTTACCAAAAGGAAAACGTACAATAATGGAATCCACAGGCACTACAGCTAAAGGAAGGGTCTTCAGCCTTACTGAGGAGAGTTACTTTGAAGTGCAGTGTTGCTATGCACGTTGAATTGATTAAGCCCTTTATTTTCCTATGGGTCTCTATCATGTTTTTATATCATGTAACATGATTTGTTAGCCGTCTCTCTCTCTCTCACACATGCACACCCATATAAAGGTGTTTATGCAGGCACTCTTTATGCTCATTATTTCTACACTTTTTTCTAGTCATAGTGTCTTAGATTATAATTGACTCTTCAGAGTACGGTGGAGATCAGGTGAGTGGAGGTTGGTGTGGCCTTGGACTATAATTGACTCTTTAGTGGAGAAAATAGATACATTTTCTGAAATCTGTGAGTTCTGGAATTGTGGCTTGCTCACTAACTTGTTTGAAAAAGACTAAGATAATAAATGTTAATTGAATTAATGGATTAATGTGTCCTTTTAGATAAGGTAATATGCAATGTCAAATCACTAAGCAATTTAACCAAGGACAACATGATTCAATTTAAATTTTAAATTTTATCATATTTTAAATCCAGTTGGTGAAGTGGATTAAAGATAGGTGGGAGTGAAAGCAGAAACACAATTACAAAAATAATGGCTCAGCAATGAGAACACTTGGACACAGGAAGGGGAACATCACACACACTGGGGACTGTCCTGGGTGGGGGGAGGGGGGAGGGATAGCATTAGGAGATATACCTAATGTAAATGACAAGTTAATGGGTGCAGCACACCAACATGGCACATGTATACATATTTAACAAACCTGCACATTGTGCACATGTACCCTAGAACTTAAAGTATAATAAAGAAAAGAAAAAAAAAGAAAAATAATGGTTCAGGTGGGAGAAACAAGGAGCTTGAGGGTAAAAATCATTTTTACGTATGAAATTCATTATTAGTTTTGAAAAGGTAACGTAGATTAAATTTTCTAATATAATATACTTAAATTTATCTTCATGAATACCACAAAATATTTCATGATAGATAATTATATCATCATTTTTCAGTAATTGACTCAAGTTCTCACAGCTGGACCTGTGATCAAATTCCAACTCTGTCACTTTCTGTTTCTGTTTCATGAAACTCTTGCTCTGTCAATGATGTTGAAGTACCTACAGTGATTACATGGAAACGAATATTGAAACTGAGGCAGGAAACCTGGGCAAGTGCTAGGTTCCTGCCCATGCAACAATCCACTTTTTAATTCATTTGTACTGTATGAATCTATAAAACTCTATAAATAATACAATCAAAATTCTGTTTCTGACATTAAATCTCAAAATGGATGAGCCAGACCTATGCCATTTTTCTCTGTTGAAATAATTTTTAATATTTGCAGATTTCCTTTATGCAATAGTTATTTCAATGGAACATCTCAGATTATTTTTCATTTGGTGGAGAAGTAAGGCCAACCTTGATGGGGCTGAATAGGCCAGCATTTATAGGGCACTTTTGCCAGAATATAACAAGAATAATTGGTCTTTCAGAGATGTCTACGTTCTAATCCCTGCAAACCATGAATACATTACATCATATGGCAAAGAGAAATTCAGGTTGCAGATGGAATTAAGGTTGCTAATTAACTGAATTTAAATAGGCTGGGCATGGTGGCTCACACTTGTAATCTCAGCGCTTTTGGAGCTGAGGTGAGAGGATTGCTTGAGGCCAGGAGTTTAAGACCAGCCTGGGCAACATAGGGAGACCCTATCTCTAAAATCATATAAATACATAAATAAATAAATTATTTTGGAATTTCTGGGTGGGCCCCCTGTAATCACAAGTGTACTTTAACAGTGGAAGACAGAGACAGAAGAGGCAGAGTGATGCAATATAAGAGACACTTAACTGGCCATTGCTGGCTTTGAAGATGGAGGGGGCCACATGCCAAGGAGTGGGGGCATCCTCTAGAAGCTGAAAATGGTTACAGCCTCCAGAAGGAACTTGCTGATACCCAGTGAGATTAATTTAGACTCCTGACCTCCATAACTGTTTGATAATACACTTGTATTGTTGTAAGCCACCACATGTTTGATAATTTGTTAACACAGCAATAGGAAACCAATATACTAACTCTGATGAAACTCTTTAAAATAAAAGATTTTCTTCTGATAAATCATAAGGCAGCAGGCTCAATCTCATACAGACCTGCATTGGGCCCATCCGCCATAACCCACCACACCTCCGAAACCCGCTAAAGTGACTAAGCTGAACCTAATGGTCAGTCTCCTTAGTACTGAATAAAAAAGAAATCCAGACATGGGTAAAGAGACACTTTATTCAAAAGGTTATTGAAATAAAAGAAAGGGGGATTATATTAATAGCAATAGGGAGACTATTGTGACCATGATATCAGCAAAGATCCCAGAGGTCAGGCAAAATTATCTTTTCTTTTGTAGAGAGGAGTCAATTAGTGCTTAATAATCATGTTTATAAGGCAAATCATGTCTTTGCATTCTGTATTTTTGATGCTTTGACAGTTGGGCCCTTGCTGGCCCTGGAGGGATTGGCTCTCCCAGAGCTAACCAATTCCTAGAGACAGTAAACAACTCACATGTTAATGAACACACTTTTCATATGCAAGAAAACCAATCTGGAGCCCATACCTTCACCACCTCCTTTATTAATATCTCACAGGGCTTTACCCATGGGCTGCTATTCCTCTGACCTAATCACCCCAGGACTAGGAACCAGACAAACAGGGACAGCCACCATGCTGCAGAGTCTGCTGAAATTATTCAGATTAGCCACCTCTACACCTGCTTACCCTGCCTCCCCATTTCTTCCTGCAGAAACCAAAATAACGGCTTTTGTTCTTGGTTTCCCCTTGTATTAGTCCCCTCTTACATGGCTATGAAGAAATGCCTGAGACCAGGTAATTCATAAAGGAAAGAGGTTTAATTGACTCACAGTTCTGCATTGCTTGGGAGGCCTCAGGAAACTTACAATCATGGCAGAAGGTAAAGTAGGCACCTTCTTCACAGGGCAGCAGGATGGAGTGAGTACCAGCAGGGGAAATGCCACATGCTTATAAAACCATCAGCTCTCATGAGAGCTCACTCACTGTCATGAGAACAGCATGAAGGAAACCACCCCTATGATTCAATTACCTCCACCTGGTCCCACCCTTGACATGTGGGGATTATTACAATTCAAGGTGAGATTTGGGTGGGGACACAGAGCCAAACCATATCACCCCCCCCACTTCCTCTGCCTCCTGATGAACCCTGGTGCTCCCTCATATGGCCCTGAATGTCCTTCTGTGCCTCCTGATTTTTGGGATCAATGACTGGAAAAGACTTCTTTCAATGCCAGTCACTTTCATGCCTGTGTATTTTATCATACCTGATTGAAACAAATCTCAGGTACCCTTTTAAAACAAGGCCAGAAAATATTAGGTGTGGGGAAGTGGTATATGAGGGTGATGTGACTGGACAGTTGTTAGGGAATGTGTTTCCCTGAGGTCAACCAAGCCTCAGGAGGGGCTGTTAAAGAGAGATTGTTCCTTATTTCAATGCTCAAGGATAGGCCAGGGTTCACAGGTCTGAGTTAAGGAGAGAAACTTGATTAAAATTTAGATAAGTAAAGTTACTGGACATTTTGTCCCGATAGGTTAGTAGAGACAAACCATTCAGCTAATTGCTTGTGAGACAAAGAATGGAAATTTGGAGGATCGATATATCTGGCTTTGTCATAGGTACAAGGGGTCATCTTTGACTCTTATGCAAGCCATATGGAAAAGGGGGGTCCTTTGCACTAAGCACTTCCAGGAACACAAAAGGGATGGGAAGATTTCTTGGCTGTTCCTGTTGTCCCTGTTTTTCAGGAGCACAGGGCTCAAATAAAGTTTGACATTGTCACTGGCCTTTTTGGAATAGGAGGATTCTTAGCATGGCAGGTCATATTACTTAAATCTGCCTTTTTCCTTTTTTCTCTACTTGTGATGGCTTTAACAGTGATAATGCTGTGGGATAAAATAAAAACTATGTAAGTCGTAAACATTGTTTGTGAGATTTCAATTAGATATAAAACCAATTTTGCTGACACAACTTAGGGTTCAAATAAAACAAAATGAAAATTTATTCTCATATAAATTATTGCATGGTTTCTCACAAATCTTGCAGAATATTCACTCATTTTATATGTTATCAGATGGGGCTTCAAAAAGTTAAAGCAACCTAATTCCTTCCTGATATTTTTTTCTGGGTCTAATACAGATGATTTTAAAATAAGGATGCCTTTAGGTTTCTAACTCCCCAAACCATTGAATGGTCTGTTTCACTCCCTTAAAATGCTGTGCCTCAATCCCTACCCTTCTAAGAGTAGAACTGTAATCAGTTCATTGCCCAATGTGCACGACAAGGCGATAAACCAAGACACCAGGTTGCAGGAGAGAAAGAGGTTTAATTGTAGAGCTGCCAAATGAGGAGATGGGAGGAGACCTCAAATCCACCTCCCCAAAGAGCTTGGGGCTAGAATTTTGAATGATTTTGGAGTGGGCCAAAGTGTGGAGACTGTTGATTGGTCGAAGGGTGCAAGGTGAAGTCATGGGACAGGAAGATAAAGAAACTGAATTATCATGCTGATTTCATTCCTCTGTGAGGGTCTTCAAACTGGATAGTATCAGCTATTCTGCTGGAGTTCAGGATCTGAAAAGCATCTGAAGCAATTCTTAAACAAAAGCCTTATGATTCTAATGTCAGGATCCTATTTCTAGGAATAGTGACAATACACGTGGTCAAGATCTGGTGTTCCTGTGACTTTCAGTTACAAAGAAGTGGGTCAAAGTGTAGTCTAAGTAATGCTTAATTATAAATATATTTCTGTCTAGAATTCTGATTAACCCTGTGAGGATGACTTCAAGAGTGGGCTGATTGGTGAAAGAGGGAAGGACTGAGAAAGAAGGGTGTGCAAAGAATTAACTGTGATGTACGGATTTGCCTCCCTTGGGGTCTCAATCACAGAACAGAGAGGAAATCGTAACATAATGAAATTGCATTCATGTATATTCACTTAGAAGATATTTTATTTATTATTAACAATATCCCAAGTCATCATGATTTAGCTAATAAACCAGCAAAGAGCAATTCATATTAAGATTGTTTGACTTCCTGTCAAATAGCTGCATTCTTGTACATGCAGAAAGAATGAAATAAACAACTGAGAATTAATGAATTGGGAAATACCTGCAAAGCTTTGTCTATGATCTGGGTTTAAGAAGAATTCCAAGTAGCAGTCTTGATTTTGATTAATATTATAATTTATCCTGTTAAAGAAGTACCTCATAAATACTCATGAAGCATTTTATTAGATGATTGTAAATACTTAAAATCTTATTTTGCAGTCCTTTTCATCACAAAGAAAAAGAGGAGCAGGCTGTGAGCAGTATATCATTTAGCCTTGTTCGTTGACGGCAAAAGTCACATCACATGTTTTAAAAACAAAATGTTTCAATACTCATGCTGTCATTGCACAAGGTTGGTGTTCTTGGAGGCCTGCTTTGCATGAATGTGATGTATAGAACTGATCCTGTGATAATGCATCCTCCCCTACACCCTCTAGTGTCATGTCTTCCCTAGGGTCATCACAGTCATGTGTTAAAGACACATTGTCTATTTGTGTTAAAGACACAAAGTGTCTATTGACAACAACTTAGGCAAAAGGCATCATGATATGCCAGCAGCTCAGAGGGAGAAGTGCTAAAAGAAGTCTCTCAAAACCATATCCCAGGAGGAAAGTTTTGCAAACCTTAAAGCTTTAACCATTCTTGCTCTCCTTCACATTGTAATAACCAATCCTTCTTTTCTGTCCACCCTTCTACCACCAACACTACCAGCACCAGTGCCCTTCCAGTTTCTTCCCTCCATACTCACATCCTCATTATTATAGCATTGCACATCATAAAACAAACAAACAAACAAACAAAGCCAGACTTGTACTGGCCTCTCAAAGGGAGAATGAATAGTGACTTATGGTAATTTTGTTTATCTCAAGAACAAGCAGAACTTTGAGATGCCAGGACTTGCAGAGCCTCTCAGTCACCACTTACAATTTCCTTTCAAGTTCAAGATGACATGGACATCTTTGTGCCAGGGATATTTTTGTCTCCAACATCCATTTATAAAAATAAGTCAGTTAAAATCCATTTGAACCACCCTCTTCCTTTACTTAAGCTCATCTGGACCTGCCTTTCTTCCTTTCTCCTTCATGTTCAAACAGATATTTAGAAGGTCTCTTGTTTGTGAGTTCAGCCTGATCCATTTGGTTCTATCACAAACCTGACCCTTCCATTCAAGCCCATTTGTTCGCCATATGAAAAGGCTCTGCGGATGCTTGCACTCTGATTCCAGAAATTATTCAGATCATTCTCCCTGCTTTGAGGCTGGCCTTGAACTGACCTCACGTGATCTGCCCACCTTGGCCTCCCAAAGTGCTGGGATTACAGGCGTGAGCCACCACGCCCGGCCCTTTCTCCAAGATTTAACTCCTGGTATGTGCCCTATGCAAAGAGGATAATAAAATTACATTTCAGAATAATCTTCCACAATCTTCCCCTCTGGGAAGAACTATTTTCCTATTAACTCTTCCATACACAGAGATAGACGGATTAATCAGATACAACTCTTTCCTTTCAGAGCATCCATCACTGTCTTCATATTCCAGGATTCCAGCCTTGTCATGGTGATGACATAGTTTCACACAAAAGTGTGGTTGCTTTTTGTAATGATTCAAATAATTTTGGAAAACAAATCATATGAGACTTCTCTCCAAGATAGTAGTTTTCAATTTTTTTTTTTTTTTTTTTTTTTTTGGCTATGGACCTTTTACACTCTTAAAAATTATTGAGGATTCCAAAGAGGTTTCCTTCATGTGGGTTATATCTGTTGATATTTAATGTATTCAAAATTTTAATGAGGAATTGTTTAAGGTTTTATTTATTAATTCATTTAAAAATAACAATAAACCCATTAAATGTTGTCTTAGTCCATTTGGACTACTATAACAAAATACAATCGACTGAGTGGCTTATTGTCACACATGTCCATGTGAAGAGATCACCAAAAAGGCTTTGTGTGAGCAACAAGGCTGTTTATTTCACCTGGGTGCAGGCGGGCTGAGTCTGAAAACAAGAGTCAGGGAAGGGAGATAGGGGTGGGGCAGTTTTATAGGATTTGGGTGGGTAGTGGAAAATTACAGTCAAAGGGGTTTTTCTCTTGCAGGCCTGGGCAGGGGTCACAAGGTGCTCAGTGGGGGAGCTTCTGAGCCAGGAGAAGGAATTTCACAAGGTAATGTCATCAGTTAAGGCAGGAACCGGCCATTTTCACTTCTTTTGTGATTCTTCACTTGCTTCAGGCCATCTGGATGTATACGTGCAGGTCACAGGGGAAATGACAGCTTAGCTTTGGCTCAGAGGCCTGACACTTATAAACAACAGAAATTTATTGCTTACAGTTCTGGATGGTGGAAGTTCGAGATCAGGGCACCAACACCGTCAGATTCTGGCAAAGGCGCAATTCCTCTTAGCCTTTTTCTCCCTCCAACCTGACACAGTGGAAGCGGCCAGGGGGTCTCTCTTGAAAGGGCACTAACCCCATTCATTCATGCTCTATCCTCATCACCTAATTCTCTCTTATTACCTCCAAATACCATCACCTTGGAGGTGAGGATTTCAACATATGAATTTTGGAGAGACATAAACATTCAGACCATAGCACATGTTAACATAAATAACACGTTAACATCTACAAAAAAGGAGTTAGAAATGCAGCATTGTTTTATACTTTTCAAATTTTAATGTCTCAGTAAAAGACAGCTGGAGTATCATAGCTGCTTCTGTGTTCAGTCTATTGCATATCCTTTTGGTTGAAATAAATGAAGAAAATTTGGCCTCACAAACAAGTGTCGTTGAAAGGCAAAACTTCCTAGACCCCTCTTTGAGAATGTCTGTTCTGGGAAAAGCAAGAGGTATATTCTAGTAGCTCTGTGAAATTCTGTATTCAAAAACAAATTAACCAAAAGGATAAATTTATCCTTTCACCAAGCAGTTACTAAGTTCATTGGAATAAAACAGATTATTGACCTGAGGGCATATTATGTTGGGTTTGAATTTCAAAATCGTAATTAAGGTTTATTTGCTTTTGTTACTATTTTCTGAGTAGTGTTGTTTCTTTACATTTAAGTTAGCCCCAGGGCTGAGACACTTAACTTCCCTAAATGCTGTTTAGTAGTTGTTCCTTTCCTCATCTCTATCTTCCTGTGCATAAAAAAGAAGTCTAAAGGGGAATCCTGGAGCTCCCCTGTCGGAACTGCTGGGGCGGGGTGGAGGGGGGGGGGTCTCCCCACCCATCTTCCTGGCACTCTGGGATTCTTCTCCATGCTTAGTGCACTCTTACTCTCTAATTCTCTCTCACTCTTTTCAGGAATCATCTCAGCTAGAAACTTAAGTATAAGGTCTGTGTGTGCACACACACCAACTTTGCTATCTGCTATCATCTAAGGTCAAGGTAATAGAAGTAAATGAGATTTATAGTGCATATACTTTGCATTCTGATAAATGCAAATAACTCCATACCTTTTATCCTTTTTGCAGCAACTTTTTTGTACTTGAACACTCTTTCCACAACATATCTAATCCAGAAGTCATCAGTATAAATTTTGCAGATTGAAAACCACAGTGTATCTAATGAGGTAAGTATAGTTACCTGAACTGTCGTCTACGACATCTATCAATGTTCTTTCTAGCACAGTTTGGAAAATCGGGATCTAGACTACACCTGCCAGAACCTTTTAGAAATAGTGTTGGCAAGTCCTTTGTGGTCTCTTAGTGTTCCTGGAGTCATTGCATTAGTCAGACCTACACTATCCTTCAGGCTTCCATATTTCCACTTTTTAAAAACCACATAGCAACCTATTTCATAGACACATTGGGTAAAAATTAACACTAATATGGAAAAGCATGCAGAACACAGAACAGAATGTTTATCTCACCAATTAAAAAATTAAATCAAGCAGCTTGGTTTTTCTTTCCAAAATAACCACTCTTTATTTTGCTGAGTTTCTGATGTGTTTAAAAAATAAGCAAACAAAAATTAACAAAATTAGAAAAGTGTCCTGAATTCTCAGGAGAATTTTATGAGCAAAAAGAAAAAGTTACACACCTCCTACTGAGAAAACTTTTCTTAGATACCTACATATGACCAACATATAAGAAGTATGCCTATGGGGGACAGGAGAACAAACTGTGATTAGTTCTATTATTATGTTGATCATCTATTTCATGCAAGGCACTTTTAGAGGCGTTTTGGAGGAGTCAGAGCAGAATAAACTATGGTCTGCGAGATTGCATGGGGTTTATGCTTTAATAAGAATGCATGGTCATACATAACTAAAACTGCCAAATCAAATTATAGCTATCATGGCAAATATCCAAGTATGTTGAATGAATAAATAGAAAATAAAAAGTGATTCCAACAAGGTCTAAGATAGGGTTTATAAAGAAAATGACATTTGATCTGCTTTATATAGAAGTTCCTAAAGCTTGGCCAGTGAAGTTTCTCAGTTGAAAAAGACAATAGATCAAAGATACGAATATAAAAAAATTCAGAGTATCTTTAGGTATATCTGGAGGAAAGTTCTGCTTCAAAGATTTGTTGATTAGAGCCAATGTATTCTAAGGAGCATTTTCTCTTATGAACTGTATTCACTCAGAATTAGATTAAGGACTTTATAGGCCAGAAGTCATTCAAACTCAATACGGATGAGCAGTTGTCAAAAGTTAATAACTTGCACTGATTATTTATGATCCCATTGAAGTTTCTTTAATTAAGCTGGCTTTCATAATCCCTTTCTAATGCCTTATCAACTTGATTCTTATCTGTGTAAGCGCTGGCTGCTGCAGACCAGGGGGTCTGTTAGGAGACTCAAGATGATACAAAAGAATTTTAGACTTAAATGAACAATTGATTAGCTAGCTACCCACTCAGCATGGTTAAGGCAAGATTGGTCTCTGTGACTGAAGTCTTTTATCCTGAGATTCTGGTACATAACTCTCCACTGCTGAAATTGGATCAGTTGTCCTACCACTGTTAGACAATCCTTTGCTGCGTCCAATGTATGGACTTAGAAGAACCCATCTTGGCTACTCTCAAGCCAGCCTTCATATTCCTTTTCAGATTTCTTAATTAATTTTTTTACATTTTTAGAGACAGGGTCTCACTCTGTTGCCCAGGCTGGAGTACAGTGGTGCAATCATAGTTCTGTGCAGTCTCCAACTCCTGGGCTCAAGAGATTCTTCTGCCTTAGCCTCCCACGTAGCTGGGATTACATGCCTGGCTATTTGTTAAATTTTTGTAAGGACAGGATCTCACTATGTTGCCCAGGCTGGCCTCCAAAACCTTCAAGTTATCCAGAAATCTCCCAGTTCAGCCTCTCAAAATGCTAAGATCAAAGGCGTGAGCTACCGCTTCTGAGATTTCTTAAAGTAGGCTCAATGATTCCATCCGTCCTGAATTTGCTAGTGTTGAGCAAATTTTTTCTGTAAAAAGCCAGGTAATAAAAATTTAGGCTTTCTGGGCTATATGGTCTCTGCTCACCTCTATCATGGTAGCACAGAGGCAGCCACAGACACCTATAAGTGAGTGGGTGTGGCCAGATTTGGCCTGGGGGCCATAGTTCGCTGCCCCTTGCACTAAGCTATGAAGTTTGTGTAGTGAAACCTTTAATAAAATCTCAGAAAAGCAAAATTAAGAAAGAAAAGGGAAAGAATTCTAAAAGTACAAAGAGAAAGTACAACAAAGAGGTCACAGCTTCAAAGCAGCCGATACCAAAGAGAGAGAGAGAAGAAAAGGGAAAGTAACTGATAACAAACAAAAAAAGAGAAAGCCATTCTGCCTCATCAGCTCCTTTTTTATACCTCAAAACAGAGTTTGCCAAACATCTCTCATGACTAGATTTACCGGGAGTCTCCTTAGACAGGCAGATCCTCAGACTCTAACCCAGGCCTCTTGGATTAGGGTCTCCACAGTAAAAATCCAGGGATTATCATATTCGACAAGATTCCTAAGCAATTCTTGTATACAGTCAAGCTTATGTATTGCTGTAAAGCCTCAAGAACATACTTGTCATTATTTAGCCCTCTAATTGTTAACTAGCAGTGTGCAGTCTCAGGAAAAAGGGGCATGTGTTGCCCCCTCCCTTTGAATTGATGTTTTGGTCTGTTAATATCCTAAATTTACTCTCGTCTCCTAAGCATTATCCTTTGACTTTATTCATTATAATTAAGGGCCACCCTTATTAGCAAACACAACTGATTCTGATTTCCTAACTTAACCGGAATCAGAACCTCAAGCTTTCTGCTTAACAGGATTCTTTCCGCTAAGTGTGGCCTGAGCAGCAATGAAACAATTTTTTAATTGTGAAAAGATTCTTGATAACACGTTTCCTATGTGCATCCCTTTAAGGCAATACAGTTTGGATTCTGGAAATACTGGTGGAAAAAATCACGAAAAAATAAAGAAAATATCTAGATAAATATGAATTATGAAACAAAGAGAAAATCTTTAGAAAAGAATGCTTTTGGTTTCTCTATGTTTGAGGCAAAAACAAATGTACAGTAAGTTGAGAGACAGAACAATATTCTGTTTTATTATACTTTTAAGTTAGAAACAAACTTGGAATTTTGGATGATACCTTGGGGTGGGTGTGTGTGTGAATGGATTGGATTTACAAATTACACGGATTCAATCACCATGTAATTTGATAATGAAAAATATCAATTCAGAGACATGATTTTATGGAAAGATGAAGTTATCAAGCTTATAAAATATTAAATAATATTTTTAAAAGAATTAGCCAAGGGCTCAAATAATGATGTCTTCTCCTATTCTGGTGCCTTCCTACCAAAGTGAAGTTATATATTCTTCTAAGCCAATTTGTTCTTAGGAACAAAATTCAATACAAATTGGGCTCAGATTTAACTTCTTTTTGTCCTAGGGATGGATTTGAGAAGTTATTTTTGTTTTCTTTGATTTTAAAATAGCTTTGAATGATCTCCTCTTAAGGATAGAGAAATGGCTCTGCAGTCTTTTGCTGTTTTCCTGTTAATCCCCTAAGACTTCTGAATCCTATTAAGTAATTTTTATCTCACTTGTCTTTTCTTCTTGCCCACTTTTCTCCACTGGACTTTGGGATATATGCAAATCTCCTCAGAAGTAGACCATCCCGTTTAAGAATAATATTCATTTTTTTTTATACTTCTGTTTTAACCTGAATTTCTTGATCCAGTCACTTTTGGTCCAGAAGCTCAAGTTGAACTTGAAGAAGAGTTATTTATTTCTCAGGGGATATGCTTATATCATTTTTTTCTCTCTTCTCAAATGACTTATTAAAATAGATTTCTGGGGACTAATTTATATTAATTCTAAAGTATGACTCTGAGGGCATGAACATTAATTGAGAGGCTGTTTTTATCACCTTATGCTCTCCTTAAAAAATAAATGACATTTTTCTTACATTTAATTCAACTTTTACTTTAGAGTATGAAATGTCAGAAATTATATTTCTGTGTATGTGTGTCTGTTTAATAATTCTCCAACAAATCCAATTAGTCTTAAGAGAATCAGGTTATGATGGGTTTCTTTGAATTCCACAAACAAAAACAGTCATGTTTGATGAGGCAAAAGATCTCTGGAAGTATTTTAGCCTTAAGTAATAAGTGGTTCACAAATTTACCCACCCATTAAAAAGTAGACATATTTGAAGCCCATATAAGCAAATCTTTTAATAATCTAGATTCAAGGTTTATAGCACCAATGCATGTAGAAACTATAATTGATATATTAACCTTTAGCTTCAAAATGAAGACACATGTATGTGTATGCTCATTGCGGCACTATTCACAATAGCAAAGGCATGGAATCAACCTAAATGTCCATCAGTGATAGACTAGATAAAGAAAATGTG
This sequence comes from Homo sapiens, assembly GCF_000001405.40. Classification (NCBI taxonomy): domain Eukaryota; kingdom Metazoa; phylum Chordata; class Mammalia; order Primates; family Hominidae; genus Homo; species Homo sapiens. Next base: position 59,607,635 of record NC_000016.10, on the reverse strand, counting down.
GTACATATACACCATGAAATACTATGCAGCCATAAAAAAAGAATGAGATCATGTCCTTTGCAGGGACATGGATGGAGCTGGGAAACCATTATCTTTAGCAAACTAATGCAGGAACAGAAAATCAAATACCGCATGTTTTAACTTATAAGTGGGAGCTAAATGATGAGAGCACATGGACACATAGAGGGGAACAACACACACTGGGGCCTATCGGAGGATGGAGGGTGGGAGGAAGGAGAGGATCAGGAGAAATAACGAATGGGTACTAGGCTTAATACTTGGGTGATGAAATAATTTGCACAACAACCCTCCATGACACGTTTGCCTGTGTCACAAACCTGCACATGTACTCCTCAACTTAAAAGCTTAAGAAAAGGAGACAAAAAAAGAAGAAATAATAATAACAGTTACATTAACATTGTTGAGTGATTACTAAGTGCCAAGCATGGTGCCTGTTTTGTTTAATTTAATCATCACAATTATCCTAAATGGCTATTCCTATTATTCCCATTTTACGTAAACTGTCCAAAGTCACACATAAAGTAGTAGAGCCAGAATTCTAATTCAAGCTTTTTAACTCAAAACCTTCCACCTTTAGCACCACACTATACCTGAATATTTCAAGGAAATTTTTTTTAAGTACAATATTGTTGTTCACAACTCTCCCATGATCTCCACAGAGCTAAGTGTGTTCATTTGTAGGGAAGGAATCTGATGATGGCATCTATGCATAACTGAGGTTTGTCAAATTCAAATTTGGTTAGGTAAAGAGTTTACCATGTCACAAGGAATCTGGTTTTGGAAAGCTCCAAGAACTGTAGGATCCATTTCATCTGTAGACTGCGATACTGCTCATAAGTATTTTTCATAAAGAAAAATACCAGCTCATTTTCTTTAGACTCCTTGTTTAAAAATCAATTAAATCAACAAATATTTATTATGAAATGATTGAAAATGAACTCATGAGATGGACCAAGATTCCAGTGAAGATTCCAGTGACCACAGTGAAGAAATCTAAAACTTATCTTGCCAAATCAAGATGAATGGAGAAATTTTTGAATAAAGTATAATTTTTTTCTATTTCAAAAAGTAAAACTACATTCTATCATTTCATAGATTGAGAGCCCATTTTTTTGCCCTCCTTATACACACACATATGCACCCACACTTGTGCCCACACACCTAAGTGTCAATCGGTGCTTCATCTTAGAGTAAATTCTATTCTATGTAGGAAATTGTGACACACCATGTGCCACTGTGGAGTATGTTTCCAGTGTACCTATGTGTGTTTCTGGTGTGAGGAGTTCTGTCATCTGCTTCTACTAAGAGCACCACTATTGACCTCTGCCAGAGCAAGATGATGTTCATATCAGTAGAATTCTAGGATACAAAACAGTGAGATTTCCATTTCCTGTTTTCACACTGAAAGTAAGTATTTTAACTCATTTTTAGCTTTATTGATGTACAATGGACATATAAAAAATTGCCTACATTGAATGTGTACATCTTGATGAGTTTGGACATAACGCCTACACTCATGTTACCATCACTACAACTATGTTAACAAACATATCCATCATCTCAAATTTGTGTGTCAGTATCTGTGTGTGTATGCATGTGTGTGTGTGTGTGTGTTTGTTTTGGGTAAGAACACTTAACATGATATCTGTCCTCAACGTTTTTCAAACTGCACAATGTCATATTGTTAATGATAGGTACTACGTTGTGCAATAGATCTCTATAACTCATTCATCTTGCATAACTGAAACTTTATACACATCACAGAACAATTCTTCATTTCCCTCTTCTCCAGCCCCTGGCAACTATCATTCTATTCTCTGCTTTTATGAGTTTGACAATTTTAGATACCACATATATATGGAATCATGCAATATTTGTCCTGTGATGGGCTTAGCATAATGTCTCCTAGGTTCATCTATGTTGTTACAAATGGCAGGATTTCCTTTTCCTTTAAGGCTGAAAAATATGACATATATAGTCATCCCTCAGTATCCACAGGGATTGGTTTCAAGACCTCCATGGATACCAAAGTCTACAGATGCTCAAATATCTCATATATTAATAAAATGATATAGAATTAATAAAATGATATTTGCCTATAACCAACACAAATCCTCCTGTATACTTTAAATTTGTGTAGAATTATTTATAATAACTAATACAATGTAAATGCTATGTAAATAGTTATTACTTTATTTGTACTATTTTTTATTGTTGAATTCTTATTTTTTTCAAATATGTTTTATGTTTTATTCAGGGTTTTATGTTATATATTTTATGTTTTATTCACGGTTGGTCGAACCCACAAATGTGGAATCCAGAGATACAAAAGACAGACTGTATATATATGGAGAGAGATAAAATATTATTGATATACATGTGTGTGTGTATCACCTTTTCTTTATCTGTTAATCTGTCAAAGAGCATTTGTATCATTTCCATATCTTAGCTATTGTGAATAATGCCTAATTGAACAAAGAGTGTAGATATCTCTTCAAAATATGTCAATTTTAAAGTCTTTCTGATATTTAAATATATAAGTTATCCTGACACATGTTAGAATTACAATAAAAGGCAAAGTTTCTTAACAGTCCACAACAAACACAAATAGTCTGGGTACCATCTGACCACTGAAGAGAAACTGAGGCTTGGGTTTAACATATGTCAATCTATTTCATGTTAATTTGTGAGGTTTTATTAAAATTACCTGATATATGAAAACCTATATTATCAGTCTTCAGGATTAATTGGTGCAATTTGGGAGAGGAAAATAAATATAAGCCACAAATTTTACTCATACTCCTATACTCAGAATTCCTGTGGGAACAAATTCGGTGGATTCAAGTCAGCCTAACTCACATTGAGGTCAAGGACTATTTCAGGTGAGTTATGGAGGAAAAAAGTTTGCCATCTGTTTTGATATATTATTCATTTAGAATATTCAGAGAATTGCAGATGTGAACAGAGAACATTAGATTGAATACAAGGCCTCCTATGCATATTCAAACAGCTTTATGTATCCTTCATGAATCAAACCAGAGTGACTAAATGAGAAGTCATAGCAAATGGACTGCATTGAACAAGAGGATGCAGGCAGAATCTTCCTTGTGAAATCTCAGTAACTTCCGGCTATTGCAAAATCTTCAAGGTCAAGTCAACTAAAGGAATTTAACACCATGTGTGCTATAATCATCTAAAACATTTTTTCATATGTAGGTTAATCTGTAACCTAAAGTGTATTTGTTATCAATACTTAAACTTATGATGTGCTAAATGATGCCCTAAATTTTTCATAGCTTTAAGGTCTACCAAGAGATTTTCTATTTGGAAAATGCATTTTCTGCCATATATTATTTTCAATTCAACTATAACAGACATCAGGTTAAGAGAAAAATGAAGACTTCAGTGCAACTGTTCACTGGTGTGTGTGTGTGTGCATGCATGCATCTGTGTGCATGTGTATGTGTGTGTATCTACCTATCCACACATAGTCCGTTTTTATATGAATTTCTCTGATTAATGAACAAACATCACAAATTTAATAAATTATTACTATAGAATAAATTCTTTAAAGATTATTTATATCAATTAGATGGTTCTATATAAAATATTTCAGTTGGCCTATATCTTAATTAGTCATCTGTGAGAGAGGACAATACATTTGCTATATATGAAGCAAAAGTTAATATTAGATCTTTAAAAAAAGCATTTTTCAATAATGAAATAGGTTTTAGTTTGTTTCCTTACTTAACTGTCTCACTTTCTGGTTTGCTCATGAAATTTTCCTAGTCCAAAGTTTGTATTTATTTCACAAAAGGGCAGCAACATCTGTAAAGATCACCCTGGATCAAAGTAGATTTCTTTGCTCACTTCTTTACAAAACATCAACTTTCTTCTTTCCACTAAAGTGTTTTGACCATGTTTATTTACTGTAACTCCTTGCCCCATCAAAGACCATATATATAACAATTTTGTAGCCATGGACCCATAAAGAAGAAAAGATATAAACAAAGATTTGAACAATGAAAGTAGTTATCTTAAATACAGATGGTCTTTGATGCATCCATACAGAGGCTTCTGAACTGTCTCAAACTCCTTGAGCCATCAGTGCACTGAAAGCTGTGGATAAAGGAAACTAACAGCACTAGGAAACTAAAAATATCCAGTATGCTGGGGTCATTTGGGACAGGGCAAAGCCACCCCACCTAGCAATAAGCCTGCAGGCCTTCTGGATTATAGAATTAGAATAAGTAACAATGAGGACTCTAATCTGTGAACAATTGAAACCCCTTAGTCATGATTTGTGTCCATTTAATGCTCTACTGTAATCACAGCCTCTAGAATAGCAAGCACTCATTAGTTAATTTATTTAGCAAATACTTATTGACCTCATGTCACAAAGAAAAGATTCTCTGTTAGGTAAATTTTGCTTTAGAAAGGAGGTAAATGTGCATTTGTGTATGCATACACAAACGTATACATCTATCTATCTATATATATATGCACATGTTTACATAAATATAAATTTGTGGGTATGTTTATGATGTTGAATATTTCATTGTATGAATAAATTACAAGGAAAAATAAACATTTATTTCCCAAACAAAATGTTCATTTATTTTCTTTTTTTCCAGCCATTTTGCTAATCTATAGTAATGATCAAAGATTCAACAGTGAACTCTTATCCAAACCCTGCCTATTAGTACTACTTAATTTATTACTTAATTAAAGCCTATTCCCTGCTTGCTTTTAGTTGTTAAAGTTTTTCACGATGACTACCCTTTTGCTTTTTTCACTTTTAGCAGCTTTAGAATGTCCACAGTAATTTTACCTCTGTTTTGGATATAAATGGCACAATATCATTAACAGCTAGGATTATAGTGCTTATAATACTGTCAGATTCAGTGGCATGATTTGGTCTGATTTATCTGAATTTCTGGGTGTTCTGAGTTGCTTGCTTGACAAGTGACCCATGTGTGAGCTGTGCTGGATCCTGTTATCTGATAGATGAATTGCTCCTACATTTTGCAATAAACATGCTTCTCTCTTCCTAGAAAGATATATCTTGAAAGTGGCATGGCTTCTACAAAGGACCCATGTGCTCAGGGGATTATACCTTCTGTTTACACAGGAATAAATATGCATTTTATTTATCATCTGCATTTTAAATAAATCATGGGTTCTCAAACAGAATTTGAAGTTTTCATTTTCTACCTAATGTCTGAATTTCCTCTGCTAATTCTCCAGCCAAAGGTCATAAAGCCATCTGTTTGAACACCTTCAGTAATGGGACAGCACCTTTCTTCTTTCAGGAGGCAATCACTTAAGATATTTCTGAAGCTAAAACTATTAGATTGTGATTTTTTAATCAGCCAGAAAGTGCCTTACTGTTTGACTTAGGTTTTCCATTCTTATTTTACACAAAATGAGTCCTACACCTCTATACTTAAATAACTCCTAGTTTCATGACAGGGTCAAGCATGGCCATCACCTAGAAATACCTGCTAAACTGCCCCCCAGTCCCTGGGCAGGTTATGTAGACCCTTCTCAGTGGTACCTAACTGATGATATAGGAGCACAATTTTGCGCTTAGATCATAATTCACTGTAGATGCCATGTCTTATTTAATCATTTGCTTATCAATATAATTCAGATAAATTGTCTTATATAAAAGGCCTAATACTAGGAATTCAAGTATATTAATTCTCTCCTTTGTCAGAAATTTTCCTTTAGCAAGCTCTTATGGTAGCTTAAGAAAAAATAAAACAAAGAAAAATATCCATCATCCTGGTGGGCTGTACCAGTCACCCTTCTGAATCCATCAAGGCTCTGTATCCCCCGATTCTAAGCTCTGTTTGTCTCTGTCTCATATGAATATTTTGTGCACTCAGTGAAAACAATCATTGGCAACTCTAGGCTCCCAGCCTGTGACTTCAGCAAATGCAGTCAGTTCCCTATTGTCTGACTATCACATTTCCTGGAAGAGTCCGAATTGGCCCAGGCATAAGACATGCTGCTACTGGACAGGCCCCAACAGCATGTGTTGAGGAGGAAAAGTCCTCCAAAAAAACAATGCCATCCATGTAGGTCCATTAAAAATGGGTGCAAAATTGTAGCACAAATGAAGAGACAAGAAAAGAATGTCACTTGTGACCTACTTAGTCACCAAATCTGGCTTTGGTTAAGTAGTTGGAAAGGTAAAACTTTCATTTAATTTTCAGAATAGGTGGCAATGGAGAGCAGCTTGACCTTCACAAAGGCCATATTGTATTTCAGTCTCATGTTTGACACTACACAAATCCCATTTCCTGTACCTGAGAGACTTTCTATTCAATAAAGTCAAGGAGCTGATAAAGAGGTGGAATTCAAATAGTGAAGAAGTTGGAAGATCACAATTTAGCAAGATTCCAACTTGCCAAAAATCAAGAGCAGGCAAGTATCAAAGAAGAATCTGAAGATTAATACAGGATTACACTTTAAAGAGGTAAAAAGCACTGCCTCATGTATGGTACTAGGGCACCGCATGGATAATTTCAACTCCTTATTGGAACAAAGTTTATTTCTGCAGAAGGATTTGTAAATGTTCTATATTCCATCACAATAACCCTGTCTTTTACCATATTAAACACTTGATTCTGTTAATTCATAAAAGCTGATTTTGGTTCATATTCCACACTCTATTAAAACACATAAACACAGACTTGAATCTAGGAGAGAAGTACCTCAGATAACTGTCCTTGTCTTAGCAACCACCAGTACCTAATTAATTCAGTGGATGGCCCACAGTAGTTACTCGGTAAACATTACATCAAAACACTGAAAAATCTTGAGCTAGGTGATTTTAAAGGTCTGGCCGTTTTTTGATATGTATGTTTCTACTTGTACCATTTATCAGGTAAATTCATGAAATTTGTACCAGATCTTTTTTACATTTTCATTTATGTTTTGTTTTAGAAATAAAGCACATTTTTCAAAACTGCAAATTGATGAAAGTGTATGTTAATGATGTCCATGTTTAATGTTTCAAAGAATTTTCACATTATGACATTTCCTCTTCAAAGCAATCCTATCCTTATGAACGATACTATTGCCATTTTTTTCAGATGATGGAATGGGTTCATTATAGGGCCTTAGGAAAATTCCTAAATTATTCTGTGTTTCAGTGATTTCTCTGTCCCCCATTTTACTCTCCCATTCTGATTTCTGACTGAGCACAATGTTCAAATGCCTTTTCTGCATAAAATATACAAAAAGATACTGTTGGCAGAAAAAAAAATTTCTGTCTAAAACGTGTGCCAAATATGAACAATAAAAAAGAATGCCTAATTATGTAAAGTTTACTGCTTAATTTAAAAGCCTTTCTATTGTACAGGATCCTTTTAATTACTGCTGTGAACTGCTATCTCCTGTGATCTTTCATGTATACTGCCATCTGTTTTCAAAACATCTTATGATCTTGAAATAACATTGCATACAATCCACAGTTTTTTATTCAGACTACTGGGACAATGTGAAAGACCCCACATAGCGTGATTGAAAATCTCATCGCTTTCTATGAATAAAGGAAAACAAAGTTAACTACAAAAACCCAGTATGTTTTCAAACTTCATCTGGACCACAGCCTCTGGATTAATAAGTTGTAGGAAACAGTCGTGATGCTAATTAGCTGCATTGCAGTAGGTGAGGCACTCTAGCTTGCTGATCTTCAGTTTTCTCACTTGTATAAAGGAGGAATAGATTTGATGAAAACTAAAGAACTTCCTAGACTGAAGACATCTGTGAACCATGAACTCAGATTTTGAATTGCACAGAGTTCAGTATTGTGGAGTAATCTACCCATCTCCAGAAGTTTTGCCTTGTCTATACATGCACCATCACAGACTCCCAGACACCCCCAACGCACATAATATTAAATCAAGGCTTTGACATAATTGCAAAATGAAACCTTTGCTTAACAGTTAATTCCAGATTTGATTTTATAGAATCCAGGCTTTCTTTGATTATTGAAAGAATATTGTAGCTGAGGCTGGGTGTGGTGGCTTATGCCCATCATCTTGGCACTTTGGGAGGCCGAAGCAATATTGTTTGAGCTCAGGAGTTTGAGACCAACCTGGACAACACAGCAAGACCTCATCTCTACTAAAAAGAAAAAAAATTAATGAATATTGTAGTGGAAAAGAGAGGAAAAGTAGTTATCATTTATTATATAAAGTACCCATATGTGTGTGTTATGTTATTATATATATGATATTTTCATGATAGAGCATAGAAATTCATTAACTCAACAGCAATAAAAACTCAACTATGTTAAGAGTCTAAAAGGTGAAGGATGTTGGTCTAATTCACCTCTATGTCTTATTAGAGCTTGAAGCTTTCCCTTGCACATAGTAGATACTAAATAAATATTCACTGATCTTTAGAATTTTGTGACTCCATGCTTATAATTATTTGAATGGAAGAGGTAAGTTAATACATGTAAAAACACTGCAGTCTGCTCAGTGCCTGATACAGGCAAAACTCAAATTTAATTAATCTATTTATTTGAACTAAGAAAATGTGTTCAAATATTTGTTAAAAAGGCCCAGCTTTTTGTTTTTTCCTGGGATTATATTGTGAACATTCCACAAAAAAGTAATACATACAAAAAATATATGTATAAGAATGATCAACCCAAGGATTTATCATAGCACAATATTTAATACAAACTATTAAAAGCTGGTTAATGTAATCATATGGCATCTATTAATCTATGATTCATTTTTAAAGGGCAATACTATACACAGCTATAATTGTTAAATAAAGTTAAAATAGAAAGTGTGTAGTTGTCTGAAACTGATTTAACTTTACTTGTAAAAACATTATATACTTTGCAAATATAATAAATTAAAATTTTACATATAGTAAAACATTTGCTAACTTGGCATCATATAATTATATTGTATTTAACAAAATTTAATTAATATATTACATATTATAATAAACAGTCTCAACTAAAAATTACTTGTACCAATGACCTAATCAAAGAAATGAATAAGCCAGGCTGGGCATGGTGGCTCACGCCTGTAATCCAAGGACTTTGGGAGGCCGAGGCAGGTGGATCACTTGAGGTCAGGAGTTCAAGACCAGCCTGCCCAAGATGGTAAAACCTGTCTCTATTAAAAATACAAAAATTAGCCAGTTATGGTGGTGCATGTCTGTAATCCCAGCTACTCAGAAGCTGAGGCAGGAGAATCGCTTGAACCAGGGTGGCAGAGGTTGCAGTGATTCGAGATCATGTCACTGCACTCCAGCCTGGGCAACTGAGTGAGACTTAGAAAGAAAGAAAAGAAAGGGAAGAAAGGGAAGGAAGGAAGGAAGGAGAGAGAAAGAAAGAAAGAAAGAGAGAGAGAGAAAGAAAGAAAGAGAAAGAAAGGAAAGAGAGGAAGAAAGAGAAAGAAAGAAAGAAAAAGAAAGAAAGAAAAGAAAGAGAGAAAGAAAGGGGAGAGGAGAGAAGAGGAGGGAAGGAAAAAGATGTGAACAGGCAAATAGAGCAAGTTTATCACCCAAACATTATTAAATCCTTGTGGAAATATAGATTAAAATATATTAATTCCCAAATGATATTTCAACTGCACTTGTATACCACCCATTGACTGCAAGATTCTTTAGTGCAGAAGGTAAAAAGTCAAATGCCTACCACGAATGCCAAGTATTGCAAGGAGTACTAAAGATTGAAGCTAGCCATAATGCAAAAGAGAGGCCATAGGGACTAAGAAGGAATGTGGCAGATTGGAAAGTACACCTTCCAGGTGTCCAAAGTATACAGATCTGCTCAGCCTCCACTGACTGTTGCCATGTGGGAATGTGGGCTCTGCATTGTCAGATCATTAGCAAGAAATCCAGATTTTGTTGGTAGTCTCTCAGTGTTAAACAACAACTATGTTGCTAATTTTTGTCTTTATGGTTATTTGTTAACACCCCGATGGCTATCATTTTATGTGCCATGTCTGGGAGCTTCAGCTACACAAAAGGCCATTCCTTTCCCTGCCGTGGCAGAATGTTCTGTACAGCATGAATCAGAGTCCCAGAAGGAAACAGACAGCACACTCAGACCAGGGCAGCTGAGGAGCACGTATTAACAAACATGTGGACAGGGTGTACAGGAACCACAAGGACTGATGCAAAACTAGGAAGAGAAGAAGCACGAGAATGGATGAAAAAGAGGATCTGAAAACAACGAATCCTCAACACGAGGTTGTTTTTGACCAAAGCAGGGACCTTCAATTGAGGACACAGCCATTCTCAAGTGACATCAGAAGGAAGGAGCCAGTTCCCCTCAATCTCTGGTCAGAGATGCCCGTTAGCCAAGTCCCAAGAGAAACAGGCCCTAGAGGAGGTCCACTGTTGTCATCACACAGATCAGTCCCCTGGGCAGAGAGTAAGGTGGAGAAGGGCAAGCTAAGAGAGGATATGTTGAACAAATTGTAAACTGTTGTTCAAAAAGTGTTAAAGCACTCAACAGTGCTTTGTACCTTTCAGGTGGCCTGCTATTTCTCATTCCAAACAGGATATTTACAACCAAATACAACCATTTCACCGAAGTGCAACCAAAGATAAATTAATGTATGACTTTATACACCACAATGTAACAGGCTGTTAAGCAGCATGATCGAATTAAAGGTCCTGAAAATGGCATAACTAATGGCACTGTCTTGAAAAAAAAAATAGTGCTAATGCGGAGGCTCATGAAATGTGTATGAACTGTATAACATATTCATGCCCTATTACTGAGAATTTCAAAGTGTCTTACTGCTCAAGATAATAGGCCTTGATTCAATTCAGTCTGATGTTGCATGAATTTCATGTGCTAATTAGTAAAGCATTTCTTAATGATTAAGGGGAAAAATCAGATAACATTTGATTGGAAACCCAACCGTCAGAGATAAAACATAGCTACAACTGGGGTTAGAATGAATGCTATTCATTTTGAATTCAGGTGTCTTAATTATGATAATTAATGATTGTATTCTCTCTATAAATGAATTCAACCAACATGATAAGCATATGGTAATTAAAGTGCTTTTTTCGAATAGGAAATTTAAACAAATGACATCAATAATAATCATGTTCCTTTTTTGCTTTTTAAGTTTGGTTTTGCATCAAGGTCTGTTTTCCCCTTTAGTCATTGATGAGTTTTATATACTGTCACTACCTTAATAACAAGTCTACTTCTAAGAGTTGATATCTGTTGACATTGAATTCCTGGCAAGAATGTAAATTATTTCCTCTTTGTTAAAGTCATAGTGAATCCTGCTCTGTATCAGTGCTGTGAAAGTTTGTTAAAAACAGTGTTGGATTTATCAGACTCCAGTGCCTAAGAGTTAATAAAAAATAAGTAACTGACCCAGTAGATATAGGTTAATATGGATAGCATTATATAAGGATGATTACATAAAATTTGATAGGTTATTTAAATTCTGAATATTCTGAATGTAATCTAATCACAGGAAATGGTTTTTAAAGGCTCACATTATTATTGTGGGGTTGTTCCCACTGACACATATTGATTTAGACTTCATCACCTCTTGCCCGACTTGCTGGAAAATCTACTCTGTCTCCATTATCTTCCAACACACATTACCTACACACATTACCCAGTACATTTTTCTCACTTATTACTTCAAAATCATTGACGGTTCCCCAAAATGAAGTGAACAAACTTCAATTTAACTAACTTGATATTAGAGATCCTCCATGAAAAAATGCCAATCCTACTTTCCAGCCTCATCTTCCAATTTTGTTCTATTTGTTCATTACTCTTCTGGTCAATTTTCTTGGTGCTTTGTAGAGTTTTTAACTCTTCTGCCACTATGAAAGTCTTTCTTCTCTCATTTTCTTCTCCACAAGACCGTGAGATGCAAGGGTATAGGTATCCTCTCCTCTCCTCAATGCCAAGAACATGTTTTGGCATAAAACAGATGTTTTATCAAGGTATAGGTGATTGATTGATTCATCTTATTCACTGAGGATATTGTTTTAACAACAAAAGAGGAATCTTTAAAAATTGTATTATTTGATTATTTAAAGATACATACTAAGATTTATTCTTTGATATTTAAAAGAGTATGCAACTCATCCTGCATTGCTTTAGTGTGTCCTTGGAAAACTACCATTTCTCCTCTACTAAGAGAGGGAAATTAATTGCTGTGTAGGGGTAGGACAGGTAAAGAGGTGGATAGTGGTAAAGAGATACTGCTCCCAAGCACCAAAACAAATTTATATGTAGAGGCAAAGGGAAAGTCTAGCTCACAGTCTTTATGAAAAAAAAATTTTTTTGAAAGATTCCATTTTTGTTTGTATACTCTTTTGCTAAGAGGGGATTTTCCAATCCCAATTCTGGGTGGCCCAAGAAGAGTTATAGAAAAATGCAACGGATTGATCAAAGAAACAGAGAACCTCTACTCCAAAGCAGAGGACATGATGCTGTGACCCCATCTCCTAATGCTGAGCTAAAGTTTAAGTAACTGTATAAACAAATGGACCTATCTCTCTGTTCAGAGTGTAGATTCATTCATCAACAGACCTTTTGGTTCATTATCTACAGCCCCAAGTAGAATAAAATGTTTCTCTTAGTTTCACTCAAATAGCCAACCAGGGTGAATCCCAATAGACAATAAAAGCCAAAGTTCCAGTATATTCTATGAGTGAAAAAAATGGCCATGCACAGGTATTTCAGTGGCCATGAAGGTGACCTGCAGCAAACTGTTTTTATTTCATTTCCCCTTCTATTCCATAATAAATGTTTTCTCTCATTAAGATGTTGTCATATGAAACCCACACTGGTTTGGTACTTTAATTAGGCCAGCCTAAGCCATTACTAAATCCATAATTTCTAAGTATCGATGATCAGTAACTGTATTTGCTTTTAGCATATTTCACCTGCCTTCACCATCATCTTATACAAGAGAATGATATTTTTAACTTTATATCTGAAACCCAATATACTGTTGACAGAGAGTAACAAAGAGTAACTGAGTTATAGAATGCCACACTTATACAACTTTCAGTACCAAAGTCTACACTGAGTCCATTCTGATCACTTTCCCTGTATGTCAGGATGAATCCCACTGGTTGTAGGGGTGGGGTAGGGGGAGTAGGTGGGATTTTTCTTTTAAATGTTCCAGCAAAGTACCTTTGTATTTTGTACTGTTTCTTTTTTTGTTACTTTTGCCTTAATGCAATACAATTTAACCACAGGAGCAATACGTTCTTTATTTTTGTCACAGTTTAAATTTTGTATAGTTTTACTTTATATTATATTGTCCATTAAGTTAATAACTTTAAGGTGATGGACACTTCTTTGACTTGTAAGACTTTCGGTCAAGCTATGTCCACATAAAATACCGCATCAAATGTATGTTGGAATATATGTTTCCTGTTATTGCTACTACATTTTGGTAACATGGAAACTGTGTCTGTGCGCATTTAGAGTCCAGAGCATTTTAGCAAATACGCTGCCCATTCAGAAACAAACAAAAATGCTTATTTGTACTGAGGCCAAAGCTAACAGAGTTCAAAATCCATCCATGTTCTATAAGAAAACAAGGCACGCAGTTCTCAGAGCATTTAAGACCAAGACTGCAGCATCCTTATCTTCACAGATTAATGACAATAAATTAATCATCGAATAGCTTTCTTTCCTAATATTGGATAAACTCATAAACTATACCATTTTTACAATTAAGATGCATTACTCTGATACCTTTTTCTGAAAATAAAAAAAAGAAATATGAAGAAAGACAAAACCAAAGTCCTAAAACAAAGGAATACATTATTGTTGTTTTCTTTCTTTCCTGTGAAGCAGCTTCTAACTATCGAAGTTGCTTTGCAAAGAGAAAAGTATAAGATAGGGGCCAATAAATTGTGTGTTTTCCCAACTCAGTTCCTCTGCCTTTGCAATAGGGATTTCCCCTGATAGCTACAGCCTTCTATAAGCCATAATTCTTGCCTTTCCACCCACGTACACTTTTACATAAAACAAGAAAGACTGCCACTGCATGTACTTCAGAGCAGTCAAAATGTAGAACCGGGAAAGTTATTCTGTAGTTTCCTAACATTACTTTCTCTCTTCTCTGCTGAATCATATAGAAAGCATGTTATAAATTGTCAGTCTATCATAACATGTGTCTCAGTCACTGCTCTGTGGAAGAGGTTGGCATTGCTTTGCATATTTCACTTCCTGATCATCAGTGTTGACATCTTCCTCATCCTCATCAGATTTCATAATGCATTTGAAATCTTGGGCCCTTTCTTGACTGAAAAATGCCTTTAGGAAATGCTCTGGGGACACTAGCAAGAAGATCATTGTTTTCATATTCATTTCCTAGGAATTTCTTCCATCATGTGCTCAAGAGGCTTCTAGCAATTCTAAATGCACAAAGTTGGAATAAACTGGTTGATGGACTAAACTGCAGCACAGCCCATTTGTGAAAGGGTAGCTTTTCACTTCACTGGGCAAAAATACAATTTAAACATCTTAGAAGTGTGGTTTTCAGTAAAATCAGTACCAAATGGGGTGTGCAGAAATGTAGCTGAGCCACTTGAATCTTTTTTTGTTGAAGAGTAACTTAAATGCCAACCTTTAGGGAGATCACATTTTAACTATTCTCTCAACGTGAGGTAGAATATACAGCAACTGCTGTATTATGACAAATGATAAATATTAGTCTCCAAGGATGTAAAAAGTAGTCATAAACCCAAGCAATGTTAATCATGAATTGACTTCATCTCATCTTTTCCTACATATATTTCCTGCAGGTCTTGAATAATGATGGTAACAATGATGGTAGAAACTGCCAGCAAATACAGTAGTCCTCTCTTATCTGTGAGGGGTAAGTTCCAAGGCCCCCATCGGATGCCTGAACCTTGGATAGGATCCTATACATGCTATGCACAAATTTCTTTTTTCTTCTTCTCAGTTTTCTGCACAGAAGATTAATTCTTACCATAGATCTTAGGAACTTCAGCATACAATTTTTTCTTCTTTATTAAGTCAAGAACTTTTACTTTTTCACTTAAAAGAAGCACTTTATGTTTTATTTTTAATTTTATTTTAGATGGAGTTTCACTCTTGTTGCCCAGGCTGGAGTGCAATGGCATGATCTCGGCTCACTGCAACATACGCCTCCCAGGTTCAAGTGATTCTCCTGTCTCAGCCTCCCGAGTAGCTGGGATTACAGGCGCCTGCCACAATGCCCAGCTAATTTTTTGTATTTTTATTACAGACGGGGTTTCACCATGTTGGCCTGGCTGGTCTCAAACTCCTGACCTCAGGTGATCCACCCACCTCAACTTCCCAAAGTGCTGGGATTACAGGTGTGAGCACCATGCCCAGCCGCTCTTTATGATTTCTCTTTGGCATATCTAAGTTTTCAGCATCACCACTCTTGTGCTTTGGGACAATTATTAAGTAAAATGAGGATTATTTGATCACATCACTGCAATCTCCTGACAGTTGATCTGATAGTGGAGATGGCTACTAAATGACCAATCGGCAGGGAGTGTCTACAGCATATGTACACTGAACACAGGGACTACTTCCATCCCAGGCAGAACAGAGCAGGGCAGAATGCAGTTTCATCCTGTAACTCAGAATGGCACACAATTTAAAATTTATGAATGGTTTGTTCCTGGAATTTTTCATTAAATATTTTCTGAATATAGTTGACCATGGATAACTGAAGCCACAGAAAATGAAACCAAAGATTATTAAAAAAACATTGTGTGTGCAGTTTTATTTAATGATCACAAAATCAAAGAGTTCCTGATATTACTCTAAGGCATACAAGGAGGATGGGCATTGTCCAAAGTCTGAGGACTTCATGAGCATGGCATTAGTTTGAGGAAGAAGCACATATTTTCAGTTTTATGTGAGAGAGTCATCATGTATTAAAAGTAAGCATTACCATGTAGAAATGCTGCCACCTGTGGAGTATGTCTATTCCAATTATGCATGCCAGAACTGGGGAAATAGCCACTGAATGGGTTTTGAGAACTACGGAGTCCACTATGAGATAGACCTGAACTAAAATTCCATTGATGACATGAAAACTGTAAGCCCCAACTCTGACCACTGGGCCACAGTGATGTTTTGGATCTCCTGGAAATAGTATTACCCACTAGTTCCTGAAGAATCTGATTAATTTCTTTTTCCCAGTGTCTGATGTGAAGCCTCAAGTCCTTTTGGGAAAGGCTGGAAGTAATAGCGGTATACATTTTTGTTGATGGAATAGGGTTCTTCCTCAAAAGGACCCAGCCTCTCCGTCATTCAAGGGATTCTGGGTCTGTAAACTGGTTCAAGTCTGGGAACTGACTGAGGGGCCATGACACTGTCTTGGTGATTCAAATTGGTCTTTAGTTCATTTGACCTAGAATTCTGTCTATAAGGATCAGGAGAGAATTTAGTAGAATGCCCATCTATTTCTCTTCTAGGGACACAATGACAAACTAGCCAATGCCATAGGTCTCAGCAAGTCGGACTGTTCTGATTACTGCTTTGACTGTGCTGTGCATTATGGTAGTCACGCCCACCTTGTCGTTGGTGATTAAGTGCTGCTACCCGGCCCCTGACACTAATTATCTCCCTTGCATTTAAGGATCCTAGTTTGGTGATGGCAGCTGCCACTGTAATGTCTGACCTATGGTGCTCTTCAGTGATGCTGGGGCTCCCCTCACAAATTTATTTCTCACAGTCATGGTGACAGGTGTGTCCTCTGGACACTCCTGGGGTGGGTGAGCAGGTCTTACAAGATAAATCCTCTCTAACATTCTAATCACCCTAAGGCCTTTGGATACCTCCCTTCAGTATATGAAGGCAACTCTGGAATTTCAACTTCATTTAACGTAGTCCATCTTTTGGTCCATGTTTCAGTCAAACAATCAAACAAACTGTTAGAACACTTTCCTATCCCTTGCCCTAGAAGATGGAGTCCAGAATCTCTGCTTAGTGGGCCCATATGAATAAATTCATCCTGATCCAACTTTATGTTTCTTACACCATTATTCCACACTTTTAATATCCATTTCTACTCATATTCTCCAGATTTCTGTGTGAAAACAAGTTTGTATGTGCTTAGTGTATATGTGTGTGTTGGCCAGTTAAGACGTGAAATACCTTGATAGCCTTTATTTTTTCTTTTCATTCTTCTTTTTTGTGACAGTTCTTAAAAATTTCTTTTCTTTATGTTCACTCAAGACTAAAATACTGACTGGGACAATTTATATTTCATAGGTTTAGTATGTTTTAAATACCTGTCTGTGTGTGTGTGTGTGTGTGTGTGTGTCTGTGTGTGTGTGTGTGTGTCTGTGTGTTGTGTGCAGGAGGTTTAGGTCACTGTATTAGTCAGAGTTCCCTAGAGGGACAGAACTAATAGGTTCTATCTATCTATCTATCTATCTATCTGAGTTTATTAAGGAGTATTGACTCACATGATCACAAGGTGAAGTCCCACAATAGGCTGTCTGCAAGCTGAGGAGCAAGGAAGCCAGTCTGAGTCCCAAAGCTGAACTTGGAGTCTGATATTCAAGGGCAGGAAGCATCCAGCACCAGAGAAAGGTGTAGGCTGGGAGGCTAAGCCAGTCTAGTCTTTCCACGTTCTTCTACCTGTTTTTATTCTGGCTGTGCCAGCAGCTGATTAGATTGTGCCCACCCAGACTGAGGGCAGATCTACCTTTTCCAGTCCACTGACTCGAATGTTAACCCCCTTTGGCAACACCCTCAGACACACTCAGGCACAATATTTTTTGTCCTTCAGTTCAGTCAATTTGACACTCAGTATTAACTATCACAGTCACCTTTATTGAGAGCACTAATCTTGTCCTTTTCCTCTCTTTTATGAACTTTTGATAGAACTTTCTTTTTTTTGGTTTGAATTGCTTAAGACAACAGGCTAATTCAAAAAAATAAAAAGTACAACTAGCTAATAACAAATGAAAAGCTTGAAGTAATGCCCAACTTTACAAACAATCATGTAAATGCCAAGGAGTAAAGATGGATACCAATTGCCCTTCAAATTATACACATATACACACAGAACAACTACAATGGTAATAGCAAAGGGAGAACTCACATACACCACCAGTTGAAATATAATGTAATACAACATTTCCAGTAGAAATGTGGCCCATTCATTATTATTTTATTTTGATAATATTTCTGTAAATATTAAAATTAATGATAATATTTGTAGATCTATAGGTAATGTCCAAAACTAGGGGAATAGCAAAATAAATCCAGCAAATGCATGTAATGCAATATAGTGCTGCAAATGTAAGGTCCATTTTAAAGTTTATACAGTGCAAAGATGTATACAAATGATGTTTATGCACAAAATTGGGATCATATAGTTCATGAAGTTTTGCAAAGAAAATATATTTATATGCATGAACGAAACTGGATATCAACATACTAACCACCATTGCTTCTGGGGATTGAAAATATTAGTACTTTTTTTTAAGTCCATAGTTTTTCCTCTTAATGTTTTGCAATGAGCTTATAATGAAAACAAAGAACAATCAACATGCCTAGATTGAAAACATCTATCATTTCTCCTGAGTTTCAAAATTTTCATCTTAAAATCCCCCTTTGAATTTTTCAATTCATCTAAATCAGATGCACAAACTCTCCATGTTGTAGCCTAGGTTTTTCCAAAAAGCAAATGCAAGCAAGCGTTTTCATGCAGGTAGTTTAATTTTAGAAATTATTCCAAGGAATAGGATTCAAGGAATCGAAAGAGGGGAACAGGATTGAGGAAAAACAAGCCTAAAAGTGTGATCTAGTCATCAATGTGAACAGCTGGGACTTACATAGCAGCACCTAGTCAGGGGTTGTCCCATGGAGTATTCACTTTCTCCTATTTCCAGGTTTGCATATTTAACAGGATTACCATGTGTAGGTGTTTGCTACAGCAACACTCACAGTGAAAAAGGCAGGCCAAGTTAATGCAGGGTGTAGTAGAAGATTCTTTCCAAGGATCCTTCTCGTTGATTGCTATTAGGAACTGTGTGAATTTAAGCCCATTTAATTATTTCTATGTTTTAGATTTAAAAACCAGTATCAGGAAGTTATTTCACTTACTTCATATTTGTGAGTTCCTATAAAGATAAACTTTTATTAGATTTTATTAAAGAACTGCATCATGCTTTACAAGCATTTTCTTTATGTGGTTAATTTGCATATTCTTCATGATGACAGATGATAATTATTAAAAATGTTCTTGTAGTTAAACATAGTTACTGCTACATCTTGGCAAAGAACAAGTCAGCCCTTATTAGACAAGTTCAACAGGGCACCAAGATCAAGGGGCACTTAGACATAGCAGTGAAAGAGGAAAGAGAACTTACTCACTGACCAATTTAACCAGATAAGCCCTTCAATTTATGTCAAGAAGATGTCACAAACAGATGTTCATAAAAACAATCACTAGTGTTTTATAGCAATGCAAAGACAAAATCAAAAGGGTTCCCTTTTCTCCACATCCTCACCAGCATGTGTTATTGCCTGTCTTTTGGATATAAGCCATTTTAACTGGGGTGAGATGGTATCTCATTATAGTTTTGATTTGCATTTCTCTGATGATCAATGATGTTGGGCACCTTTTTACATGCCCGTTTGCCATTTGTATGTCTTCCTTTGAGAAATAAGCCAGGTACAGAAAGACAAACATTGCGTCTTCTCACTTATTTGTGGGATCTAAAAATCAAAACAATTGAACTCATGGACACAGAGAGTAGAAGCATGGTTACCAGAGGCTGGGAAGGGTAGTAACGAGGGTGGAGGAGAGGCGGGAATGGTTAACAGGTACAAAAATAACAGTTAGAAAGAACGAATAAGACCTACTATTTGATAACACAACAGGGTGACTATAGTCAATAATAACTTAACTGTACAATTATTTTAAAATATTGGGAGGCTGAGGCGGGCAGATCACGAGGTCAGGAGATCGAGACCATCCTGGCTAACATGGTGAAACCCCATTTCTACTAAAAATACAAAAAATTAGCCAGGCATGGTGGCGGGCACCTGTAGTCCCAGCTACTCTGGAGGCTGAGGCAGGAGAATGGTGTGAACCCAGGAGGCGGAGCTTGCAGTGAGCCAAGATACTGCCACTGCACCCCAGCCTGGGCAACAGAGCAAGACTCCACCTCAAAAAAAAAAAAAAAAAATTGAAAGAGTATACATGCATTGTTTGCAACTCAATAGACAAATGCTTTAGGGGATCCTTCATGATGCGCTTATTTCACATTGTATGCCTATATCAAAAGATCTCATGTATCCCATAAATATATATACTTAGTATGTACCCACAAAAATAAAATAAAATAAATTCAGAAGGGGCATATGTAATTCATATATAAATGCAGTTTGAAAACCTATGCAAAAAATAGAACATGACTCAAGAGTCACTTTTCTGGTAGCTTGTTCTAAGGAAATAATACAAAGTAAAACTTCATATATAACGCTATTGATTTGGCAATAACCTGTAAGTTCAAGGAGAGGGAAATGGCCCATTAAATCATTTTTCCACATGATAAAAATTTAAACAAACATTACAATTATGGCTTCCTAAATAATAATATTATCATAAAAACTGTGTTATTTGCTTAAAAAAACTATAAAATGATTTATTGGACACTCTTTTTTTTCTCTTTACAGGATTATAGGCATGAGCCACCATGCCTGGCCAAGGACACTATTTCAAATATGCATGCATGATTCCTGTGTTAAGGGGAAATTACAAAAAAGAGTAACTGAAATCAACAAATGAGGGTGGAGAATTAAAAGTGTGTGTGTTTTTTTTTTAGTTTTTGTTTTAATAATTTACTATTTTAAACTTGTATTCACGGGCATTATAGCACAGTTGTTAAGGATACAGGATGTAAAATCATTTGGAATTCTGCCTAAATTGGACTTCTGATTTTATTCCACTTGCTAAATGTGTAAACTTGGGCAAATTACTTCATTTCTCTAAGCTTCCATTAGTTCTTCTGTAAGGCAATTATTACAAAGACTACTTTGTATATGGGGTAGTAAGAACATCAAATGAGTTACTGTATGCTGAGTTTGGCACACTGCCTAACCCATAATAAGTGTTCAGTGAACATCGTCTATTTTTATTATGCTGAAAGATGAATTCAGCATAATTACTTTCATGAACACCTATGTCAACCATAAAAATTATGGTGATAATTTCCAAAGACTATGGCATCATAGATTTCTCTTTTTTAAATTAAACTGGAATAAAAATGTGCACATACTGGTAAAAGAAAACAATTAATATCCTTTGTTAATGACTGGAAGTAATGAAAATATGAAGATTTTAGCTATAAGAGATACACAATGTCAATATTTGAGATGATTTAAACTCTCTTAATCTGAGTACAAATTTGCAAATTTGTGCTGCAAGTATTCTTGGCCATAAATTTTGAACTGATAAGTTGAAAGCCTTGTGTGTGGCTGTTTAGCTTAGCTATTTCAGTTCATGAGTGCCGTGACTCTTTCATAGGCACATGTGGCAAGACAAAGTAGTTTAAGAGCTTTGCTTGCAGGGATATGAGCTACTTCAAGTTGTGTTTATTGTATTTTCTCTTTTTTTTTTTTTTTTTTTTTTTTTGAGACAGAGTCTCGCTCTGTCACCCAGGCTGGACTGCAGTGGCACAATCTTGGCTCACTGCAGCCTCCGCCTCCCGGGTTCAAGTGATTCTTCTGCCTCAGCCTCCCGAGTAGCTGGGACTACAGGTGCCCTCCACCACGCCCAGCTAATTTTTTGTATTTTCCGTAGAGACGGGGTTTCACTGTGTTAGCCAGGATGCTCTCGATCTCCTGACCTCGTGATCTGCCCCTCTGCCTCCCAAAGTTCTGGGATTACAGGCGTGAGCCACCACGTCCCACCTGTATTTTCTTTTTCTAGCCAGAATGCATGCCACTCATAGACCACAGAACCAATATGGAGGGAAGCAGGATCTCACAGACTCCAAATGCAGAGAGGTGAACAATTCTATTCTTCTGAGTTGCTTACACATGGCTTCTCGTCTGACTCAGTTTCTCTGTCACTTTGTCCTGAAGCTGATTGAAAATAAGATGATAGGAGAGGCTGAAACCATGGGATCTGAATGCTGCTAAATGATTCTCCAAAGCACATGTGCTAAACTCTCTTTGGTTGTAGGTAGCATATTGATGCTCACCGATTCTGCTGTCATTATGAGTACAATGCAAAGCAAAAGGCTTCTTCCTTTTTTTAACTTTTAAGTTCAGCAAATGTGCAGATTTGTTACACAGGTAAACTTGTGTCATGGGTGTTTGTTATACAGATTATTTCATCATCCAGGTATTAAACCTAATGCCCATTAGTTATTTTTCCTAATCCTCTCTGTCCTCCCCCAACCTTCCATCATTCAACAGGCACCAGTGTGTGTTGTCCCCTCTATGTGCCCCTGTGTTCTCATCATTTAGTTCCCACTTATAAGTGAGAATATGTGGTATTTGGTTTTTTGTTCCTGTGTTAGCGTGCTGAGGATAATGGCTTCCAACTTCATCCATGTCCCTGCAAAGGACATGATCTCATTCTTTTTTACGGCTGCATAGTGTTCCATGGTGTATATGAACTACATCTTCTTTTTCTAGTCTATCATTGATGGACATTTAAGTTGATTCCACATCTTTGCTATATTGCAAATAGCGCTGCAATGACCATACCCATGCATGTATCTTCATAATTGAAAAATTTATATTACTTTGAGTATAGACCCAGTAAGTGGGGTTTCTGGGTCGAATGGTATTTCTGTCTTTAGAACGTTGAAGAATTGCCACACTGTCTTCCACAATGGTTGAAGTAATTTACACTTCTACCAACAGTATATAAGCATTTCTCTTTGTCTGCAACCACGCCAGCATCTGTTATTTTTTGACTTTTCAACAGTGGCCATTCTGACTGTTGTAACATAGTATCTCATGGTGGTTTTGATTTACATTTCTCTAATGATCAGTGATGTTGACCTTTTTTTTTTTTTTCATGTGATTGTTGGCCACATGTATGTCTTCTGCAAAAGGGCTTTTTCTAAGGCATGGAAACTTCCCTTTTACTTCTCAGTTTGTTGTTGATTCAATTTTGTTCTAATTCACGCTAAATCATTCACCCTTATTCTACTGAATAACAAAAAAGACATGAGTTTTCCTTAGAAAAACCACATGAAGAACAAAAGCATTTAAAAACGAAGGCTCTGAAATACCTAAATTGGTTCATCACTAAATTAAGCACTTATTAATTCTGAGAGTTTGTCAAGTTTATCAAATCTCTCTTAGCTTCAGTTTGAGAATTTGTGAAATGGTAAATCATGTCTACTAAGGGATTGCTGTGTGTATTAAATGAGATAATACCTGTAATACAAGGTGGTATGCCTATTATTTAATTCTAAGTAAATTTATGCTCTTCATTTATAATTTCATTATTTGTGCTTATGAGTGTTGAAAGAGCATAAACAATTTAATGCAGCTCAGAAATAAAATCCATTAAATGATATGAAAATAGACAAAAGTCACAAAATACCTACCCTGATGGTGTTAGGATAAGGGAAAATGCATGAAAACAAGCTTGCTGGAAAGCATTACCTTCATATAAAACCCTAGAGGGAAATAGTCCATCTACAAAATAATTGTTCCATTTATTAGGAAAAAAGATAAATCCTACTGAAACAACTTAGGAAGTGCCTCTCAAACTTGCTAGCTCATTTGTGTGTTTTTTTCACAATTTCTTGAGTGTCTAACATGTGTCCAGCACTGTGCTGGATCATCAATATGCAATGGAGAACACAGCAGACTTGAATAGTGCCCCCATATAATTTACATTCCAATAGGGCTGTCCTGATTCCATCAGCATGGTTCAGCAACATTATGTTTATATGTTTAGATAACTCTGTTGTTCTGTATAATATACTTTCCTCCACAGAAGGCCTAATTTCATCTCCTTTCAAGTTTGCCTACACCAATTCTAAAACAAGAACAGCAGTTTTCCACATTACGAATATTCTTTAAATTTATGACTATTGTCTATCATGAAGAAAAGCAACCAAATTCATATTTTGGAGAATAGTTCTCAGGAAGAAAAAAAATAGAAGTTGGTTGTAGGAAAAGTTATATTAAAAGAATGAGGCTTTCAAGAAAGTTCAATACCTTCAACAATTTTGCGTTAAATGATATGAATTTGTCCTTCCCTTTTCTGGAGAGCCTCTGTCCGCAGAAATTTGATTTCATATTTTAAAGGGTTGTTTCCTAATGGTTTGGTGGTACACAGTACTCCTATCTGTTCTAACATTAGGAAACCTCAGCTCTCCTTCAACCATGTATCTGATGAGCAACTGGTCATATCTAAAGCTCCACTCTCTTGAACCTGTATTGCTATCACCAGTGAGAGGTGATTTTAAGTTTTACGTGATAATGCAGCTATGATAGATGACTTATCTTGCCCTTTCTGCATACACATGCACACATATATGTACCTACATGTCAGGAGCAGTCTAAGTCAATATTAGAGCATATTTCTCTCAGTTCCCAATTTGGTAACTATAGTTATAAACCACAGGTTGTTAAGTGTGGAATGTTTCCATCCATGATGTACCAATTTGGGAAAGCACTTAACAACCATATAATTCAATCTTCTATCCCAAACACATGGAAGCAGCACTTTTAATTAGGAATTAGGATGTAATGAGAGCGCTTCATGCAGAGTCAAGTCTTATAAAGAGCCATCATAAGAAATGTGCCTGCATTCTATGCAACAAAACTTAGATATGCAAAAGTAAGGTTTATTTAATTGGCAAATTTGATGACATTAAAATTAACAGTATACATAACAGTATGACTGAAAACAATATTGTCTTAATGTTTTGTACTTTTCTTATAAAAAAATTCTTGTACTACACTGAAATAATAAGTGTATCCTATTTTTAATTAGTTTTTTTATTCTACGGTATGTTTTTGTTTTTTTTTTTTTTTTTTGAGACAGAGTTTTGGTCTTGTTGCCCAAGCTGGAGTGCAGCCTCCCGGGTTCAAGTGATTCTCCTGCCTCAGCCTCCAAAGAAGCTGGGATTACAGGTGCCTGCCACCACGCCCAGCTAATTTTTATATTTTTAGAGGAGATGGGGTTTTACCATGTTGGCTGGGCTGGTCTTGAACTCCTGGCCTCAAGTGATCTGCCCACCTCGACCCCCCTAAGTGCTGGGATTACAAGTGTGAGCCACTGCGCCCAGCCTTTTCTATGGTTTTTAATATGACTAAAATAAATTTATTTTTTTGTTTATTGGATAGATAGCAAAATTTCCACTCAACTTCCATATGAATAGAAATTCTCCCAGCAACATTTTTTGGATAATCAGTACTTTACATTTATATGGGTAAGTCTGCTTCTAAGCTCTAGCAGTCTATTTGTTCCTTCTTGCACAAAAAATACTGTTTAATTACTTTATCTTTAAACTGAAACTTGATATATGTTATGATGTATTTTCTCTCTTTATTTTTCACAATATTAATTTTGCCCTTCCATTGCACTGTTGGAATCATGTCAAGTTACAATAGAAAACCTAGTTGAGATTTTATTTGAATTTTAATTAACTATAGATTAATTTAAAAAATTTTTCTTTAAAATAATAGATTTTCCCTTTCATAAATAAGCAATATTTTTGTTCTTTTTAAAAACTCATATTATTTTTTCTAACAAAGTTATTTTCATAAAGTTGTTACCTATCTATTGTCATTTTTCCCTAGGTACATTTATGATATTTATTGTGATTAGAATAACATTTTAAAAATATATTTTTAAATTGTTCATTGCTGATATATAAGGATGCTCTTGATATTTGTATACTAAACTTAAAATTAGCAAACTTGCTTTCTTTCTTATTAGTTCTAAAAGAAACATTTATGATATTTAAAGATTACATTATGTGGACAAATACATGAGAATAATGATGGCTCTTTAACTCCCTCGAAAATCTTTACACTTCATATCCATACTGAGTGTTATGCTTTTGGTAAGACTTCAATACATTGTTAAATGCAAGTTTTATAGTTAGCTTATCTTGTTCTTGGCTTTAATAAGCATTAGAGAATACATGAACATTTCACAATTCAGTGTCACACTTGCTGTATCTTTCAATAACATTGAGTATATACATACATGATATACCCCTATAACAAACCTGAATATGTACCCCCGTATCTAAAATAAAAGTTGAAATTACTTTTACAAAATATAATACAGAAAATAGAGTAGGGAAAAGACTGATATAAAAACAGGCATTTAGAATGAACTAAAAAAAGAGTATATTTATATACACACACAGAATACAATTAAACTTTTTCATAAGAAATGTTGCTAATTTTTTTCTCTCTAGTGACACAATCATATGAATTTGATGCATTGTACATTGTTGGTCTTTAATTTCTCTATCTTATCCTATTTTTATCATATCTGAAATCAAGTTATTTTTAGTATTTGAATTTAAAAATAATCTGTATAGATACACACAGAGAGAGATTACACAGATTATAACAGTAGTGATGCTCTTCGTTATACCTAATATTTTAAATATTATTTATGTTTGTTCCACAATCTTGCCAATGAATTGTCTATCTAGTTACTCTCCTCAAAGAAGAAAATATTTCTGATCATACTATCGCTTGCCTGCTTTTTCATTGCACAATTATGCTTGTAAATTTAATATTAGTTTAATACTACTTTCCTTCTACCTTCTTTTGTTTATTAAGTTGCCCCTTTTACAATTTCTTGAATTGCTTATGTTAAAAACTTTTTCTCCCTGTGGTGTTGATTTGCATTTCCCTGATAATTAGTGATATTGAGCACTTCCTCATACAACTGTTAGCCATTTGTATGTTTTTTAAAAAAAAATTTATTTAAGTCTTTAGCCCATTATAAAATCAAGTTATTTGTTTTCTTGCTATTAAGTTCCTTATACATTGTGGATATTAGCCCCTTATCAGATGTATAGTTTGCAAATATTTTCTCCCATTCCGTAGGTGGTCTCTTCACTCTGTTGAGTGGATTTTGTTTTCTGTGCAGAAGCTTTTTAGTTTGATTTTGTCTCATTTGTCTATTTTTGCTTTTGTTGTCCATGCTTTTGAAGTCATAATCAGAAAAGCACTGCCCAGACCAGTATTAGGAAGTTTTCCTCTATGTTTTCTTCTATTAGTTTCATAGGTTGGGGCATTACATTTAAATCTTTAATCCATTTTGAGCTGATTTTTGAATATACTGAGAGATAGGAGTCTAGTTTCATTTTTTGCATTCCCCAACACCAGTTATTGAAAAGACTGTTTTTCCTCATTGTGTATTCTTGGCACCTTTGTTGAAAACGAGTTGACTGTAAATGTAGATTTATTTCTACTCTCTCTATTATCTTCCATTACTCTATGAGTCTGTTTTTATGTAAGTACCATGCTGTTTTGGTTACTCTAACTGTCGTGTATTTTGAAGTCAGGTAGTGCCAAGCCTTCAGCTTTGTTCTTTTTCCTCAAGATTGCTTTGGCTATTAGAGGTCTTTTTGGATCCATACAAATTTTAGATTGTTTTTCTATTTCTGTGAAGAATCTAATTGGTATTTTGATAGGGATTGCATTGATTCTGTAGATCACTTTGAATGGTACAGACATTTTAACAATATTAATTCTTCCAATCCATGAACAAATATCTGTTTGTGTCTTCTTCACTTTCTTTCGTTAATGTTTTATAATTTTCAGAATAGATATTTTTCACCTCCTTGATTAAATTTATTCTTAATCTAAGTATTTTTTTAGCTATTGTAAATAACATTGTTTTCTTGACTTCTCTTTTAGTTGGTCCTGTGTTAGTATATAGATATAGTTTTTGTGTGTTGGTTTTGTATCTGCAACTTTTCTGAATTTGTTTATTAATTCTAACAACTTTTTGGTGGAGCCTTAGGGTTTTCTATATATAAGATCATGTTATCTGCAAATAGAGATGATTTAACTTCTTCCTTTCCAATTTGGATGACTTTTATTTCTTTCTCTTGACAACTCCACCTGCCTTTCTGATAATAGCCCTTCTCCTGAGAGAATCACGATTATCAGGAAGACAATAGATATTAAGCATTGGGGAGGATGTGGAGTAAAGAAAACCCTTGAAAATGTTGGTGGGAAAGTAAATTGGTACCACCATGATGGCAAACAGTATGATAGTTTCAAAAAAACTAAAAATAGAACTACCATATGATCCAGCAATCCCACTACTGAGCATATATCCAAAGGAAATGATATCAGTATGTTGAAGAGATATCTGCACTTGCATATTTATTGCAGCATTATTCACAATATCTAAGATATGAAATCAACCTAAGTGTTTATCAACAGATGAATGGATAAAGGAAATGTGTTATATACACACAATGGAATACTATTCAACTACAAGAAAGAAATTCTGCCATTTGTGACAACATGGATGAACATGGAGGACACTACGTTAAGTGAAATAATCCAGACACAGAAAAACAAACACCACATAATCTCACTCACATGTGGAATCTAAAAGAGTTGATCTCATAGAAGTAGAGAGTAGAATGGCAATTATCAGAGGCTAGGTTTTTAGTGGAAAGAGGAGGTTGGGGACATGTTGGCCAAAGGACACATATATACACTTAGGTAGAATTAATAAGTTCAAGATATCTATTGTACAGTGTCACGAATGGTGCAAAGTTAGAGATAACAAGGTCCATGCATGCCTGTGTCTTTCCACAATGTAGGGTTTTACTGTTGCTACTTCAATGACAAAAGCCACGAGCTACATGGAGTTCCCAAGAAGGCAAATCTCCTTAGTAATTACCATACACTCAGTAGTCAGAGCCACCAGCACACAGGCTCAAGTCACTCCACAAGTCAGTCAGTTTTGCAAACCATACATAATAGAATATTTGATCCATATATAAAAGTTAAAGGTTAATTATTCCACAACAAACAGAGTAACATATAACATCAAGGGGAAAAAGAGATAGGAGAAAGGGTTAACAAACCAGTCCAGGGAGAACTAAGACAATAAAATGAGTCCTGGTTTGGGCTAGACAGTCCACTGGTCTTGCAAGGAAGAGTCTATGAGATGATAGTGCCTTTGGTGGCAGATGCCAAATTTTTTTTTTTTTTTTTTTTTTTTTTTTTTGAGATGGAGTCTCGCTCTGTTGCCCAGGCTGGAGTGCAATGGTGCTATCTCGGCTCACTGCAACCTCCGCCTCCCAGGTTCAAGCGATTCTCCTGCCTTAGCCACCCCAGTAGCTGGGATTACAGGTACCTGCCACCATGCCTGGCTAATTTTTGTATTTTTAGAAGAGACGAGGTTTCACTATGTTGGTCAGGCTGGTCTTGAACTCCTGACCTCATGATCTGCCCACCTTGACCTCCTGAAGTGCTGGGATTACAGGTGTGAGCCACCGTGCCTGGCTGCAGATACTAAATTCTTTGGGGTTTTTTGTTTGTTTGTTTTTGTTTTTGAGATGGAGTCTCACTTTGTCACCCAGGCTGGAGTGCAGTGGCACGATCTCGGCTCTGTGCAACCTCCATTTCCCTGGTTCAAGTGGTTCTCCTGCCTCAGCCTCCCGAGTAGCTGGGATTACAGGCACACACCACCAGGCCCGGCTAATTTTTGTATTTTCAGTAGAGATGGGGTTTGACCACGTTGGCCAGGCTGGTCTCGAACTCCTGACCTCAGGTGATCCACCTGCCTTGGCCTCCCAAAGTGCTGGGAGTACAGGTGTGAGCCACTGCGCCAGGCTGGCAGATGCCAAATTCTTATCATAAGTGACTACAAGAAGGTGTCAGTTAAGACGGCCATTTTGAGCTGCGAAAGCTTGGTCTTTTATAGCCACGGAGTCCTCTGGTGGGAACTGAGAGTGAAATAATGCCTTTGTTTGGGTCCCTATCTGGTTGGATGCAGTCCTTATTTATTCGTTTATTAAACAAAACATGTTATCCTTGTTGGCAAAGTGCTCTATGAAATATAAAATGGAGTCTTTTTCTAAGATAAGTTAGTTACGTCAAGGGTGCTCTATACTTACAGCATGGTGACTACAGTTTATAATATATTGTATTCTTGTAAATGCTAAGAAGAGTAAATGTTCTCCCCACAAAAAATGATAACCATGTGAGGAAATGTACTTGTTAATTAACTAGATTTAACCATTCTACGATGTAATACTTCAAAATATCATGTTGCATATGATGCAAGAAGAAAATTTGCAAATTAGTGAGCAAAATGTTCGGGGCTAAATATTTTCTTTTTTGACTAAATTCCTCAAGTTTTCATTGTTGTTCCTGGGTTCAGAAAATCATAGTGAACAATTGCCACAGCTCCCCTAGGACTTACATAGAAAGTCTAGGTAAGAGAAATCTCAAGAAGTTTTTGGATCCACAATGACCATTAGAAAAAGGATTACATGGCAACAGAATAAAGAGAACACTAGATGTGTATATGACGTAAGCAAGCCTTATTTTGGTTAATGAAAAGAAATTATTTTACCAAATTGTTGTCCCCTTCCCTTCTCACCATCAGAATGTTAAGAGCTAGACGACAAAGTCCAGGGTATAGATCCATAGGAAGTGGCCAAAGTATAGTATTTTAGGTTGTTTCTCATCTAGAACTTAAAGTACAAGGATAAAATGATAAATGTTCAGATTTATAACTATATTATAAATAATTATAATAAATTACAATATTATAACTAAATAAAATATTATAATAAATTAAATAAGTACTATAACTTTTGTCTTTTCAATCTACCCTCGTATACTAAGCATTACCTAACCCCCTAAAACCGACTACAATTTATCGTCTGTAATATCGCATTCAGTGTTTAATGACCCCATTTGCCACAGTACACTGACAGACCAAGTGTGAGCATTTGTTTACGTGCTTTACATAAATTATCATTTTAGTTTTTTAAATTTAGTTAATCATAAATTTAATAACTGGTGCTAAGTAAATTGAGAGTGTGCTTTTGTTAATATATGCATTTTAAAATATCACTTAAGACAACAGCCATGCCATATATCAAGCAAAATGTCTAAAACAGCTATTGTTGCAACTGATAGTTTGAAACTTCATGGTGGCTAGTTGACTAAAACATATATTAAGATATTTTTAGGCAAAAGAGGAAAGTATATTAGAACAGACGAGATTGGGTGCATTCAGAGTGCAGTGGCTCACGCCTGTGATCCCAGCACTTTGGGAGGCCGAGGAAGGCCGATCACCTGAGGTCAGGAGTTCAAGATCAGCCTGGCCAACACAGCGAAACCCCGTCTCTACTAAAAATACAAAAATTACCCCAGTTTGGTGGTGGGTGCCTATAATCCCAGCTACTCGGGAGACTGAGGCAGGAGAATCATTTGAATCCAGGAGGCAGAGATTTCAGTGAGCTGAGATCGTGCCACTGCACTCCAGCCTGGAATCCAGCAAGAGTCCATCTCAAAAAAACAAAAGTATATTAGAACAGATACAACTGCCTACCATTGAGCAGGATACTCCTCTCTTTGTGAAATTTACATATTTGCTAATGAAGCTTCTTAAATCATCATCCACATTATTGATTATATTCTAATGAAGAAAGTGTCTGTGATTCACCTGGTGTGTGTCATTTAGGAAGTTTTCCAATATTCATCTGTTTTCAGAATTCATCATATATTTTGAATAATTGCAATTATTGATCCAGGGAACACAGTGAATCTTATCTTTCTTTTACATCTTAAGTCTCTCATTTTCTGAATATATTTTGTTTTCATATTAAATAAGTCTAGTTAGTATTAATTTTATATTATATGAACACATTCACTGTCCAGATGTGTGTTATTAAATGTCCCTTGCATTTTCTGTAATTCTCATAGTTTTGGATCTTTGGAAGGACCAAATTGTCCCCAAGGGACTATGATTATCTTTATCTATAAACTATTTTTAACAATAATAGTACATGCTTAGTTCATAATTGACTCATGTCCAAAACAACAACAAAAAACCCATGTAGGTTTTGCTATACAGATTTTTCTCAAATCAAGTTTTATTTATATTTTATTTGTGTAAATTATATTATTTGAATATAAATGGAAGATTTACGCATTTTGATGGAATATTTTTGATGTAGAGATTAAATATTAGCATATATAATCATTGATGATAATGCACTAAAGCAGTAAATACAATTTAGAGGATCATATTATTCACATATTTGAAAGGTTAAGTAGTCATGGATGTATCACTTAATTTCAATTTCTTATCTGTAAAATGGGGCTATTAACAATTTATCTACACCAAGATGTAACCTCAAGTATAATAATTCATGGAAAAAGATTTTAATAAGACTATAAAGAAAATAAGTTGTAAAGTTTATTTTTTAAATGTTCTAAATCAGGAGTCAAAGCAACCCTTTTCTTAAGGATCATACAACAAATATTTCAGATTTTGTGGGACATATACATATATTCTTCTCTTTTTTTTTTTTTACAACCTTTAAAAATCTAAAAACGATTCTTAGCTTTCAGGCAGAGTGGTATGGCCTGAGGGATGTAGTTTGCTGACCTGTGTTCTTGAGTATCTCCTTTCTAAATTGCTTATTTGTTAAATCATGTTGTTCTGAGTTTTTAACATTTTAAGCAAAACACAGTTGTACTTTACAATTTTTATTCTAAAATATTTACACATAAAGTCGTTACAATATGCAGCTTTTTAAAAAAACCACAGCAAAAGGAGCAAGTGAGTTTAGAAAGCGTTTTTTCTTAATCAAGATTATTTATTCACACAACAAAAATGAGAACTGATCCCCAAAGGGCCAAATATCTGTATCTTGCTAAAGAAAAGATGGTCCTATGAGAATCAATAGATGGAGCATTCAGAGTGGGGACCTACATGTAAAAGCCCTCAAAGAGGTCTCTATTTCTAGTCATATTTGGGTTTGTTTATTTGTTGTTTGTTTTGTCTTTCAAAGAACTATGCAAGGTCCTAAACTGCAGTCACCTATTCTTCTCTAGATTAGAGAAGCAACTTTTCTCTCACTCTGCCTGGTATATGATGTCTGACTGTCTGAACCCTTGCTAAGAGTTGATAAAATTCTTACTCACAGTTAATCATCTATTTAATTTATCTAATCCCTCTTGCTCCCTTGTTTGTCCCTGGCCTGAATAAGAGAATAATTTAAACTTCTCTGCGATAGATCCACAAAACTCATTACCAAATAGGTTTTACTTTACCTTAAAACCAAGACAATAAAGATACTAAAAATACATCCTTCTGGTGAGATCGAGAAGCTCATATAATTACTATCCATACAAGTAAATATTCAATAGGGTTCCACAATTCTGTCAATGATCAGCCCTTACCCAGCTATTAGAGAAATTCAAATGAATTGAATTTTTTGCTTTTCTCATGGTTTTAGAACTAGGCAGGATGGAATTTGGAATTGTCCCAGATATAGATTGCAGAAGCTTACGAACTATTCAAATATGCACAATTTACACACCAAAAATGACTCAGAGTAAAACAGTAGCAGTCATAGTTCAAAGAAACTATTCTTGCCTTCTGGGGGAAAATTTTGAACATAAAAACTTGAGGGGCATTATAAAATGTAATAATGAGGTAACGTATCTTTTAATTCAAACTGCCTAGCATTTTAAATAAATTTAAATTTTTAAATTTAATTTATAATTTCAACTTAAACTTTCCAAAGTGTTTTATCTAAAAAGTCTTTGAGACAATCCAATAAGGAATTTGAATTTTTCCTGGCTCTGTTCTCATCTTTATGAAGTGACGTAACCTCTGACTTCAGCGTCCCTGTCTGTCTCTGCCGCATCATGATTTTTAAAGATTAAATGGCAAAACTGACTCACCTAGAATCTCAGACAAAACAGGTGGTCAGTTAATATCTTGCCTCACTTCCCTCTTGATGTCATCATCTGCAAGCTCATATATAATAAGCACTTTTGGTATTGGGGAAGGTAAGAAAACTGGAA
Organism: Homo sapiens; assembly: GCF_000001405.40. Lineage (NCBI taxonomy): Eukaryota > Metazoa > Chordata > Mammalia > Primates > Hominidae > Homo > Homo sapiens. Next base: position 59,573,569 of record NC_000016.10, on the reverse strand, counting down.
TGAAAAAAATATCTCTCTAGTGAGGAGAACATTGGGTTGGTAGCTAGAGAGTCCTGCTTAGATATTTTTAGTGCGGATACTTGCTGGCCTTGGGAAGATAAACATTCAACCCCTGGCTCTCATTCGTAAATTTGACCTCATTTGTAAATTTAAGATGTTTGACAAGATATTATCTGAAATAAATTTTCCTGATTTTAATATTATTATGGCATATTACCTTCTGTATGTTCAAAGTTAGACTCTCAATCCACCAGGTATATGTTCAAATTCTGGAATTGTTGGTTAGTAATAAGTTATCTTATAAAAATATTCAACATTTGTGTACTTCGATTACTTACTTTCCCTTAATTTCTGTTCTCTTCTTGAAATAGTTGAAATAATATCTCGTTACTGTTTAATAGGCATATTGCACACAGGATGGTGTTTTGCAAACAATTGATACCTATTACATGATATATATGATGCATATTAAGACAAAACTCAGGTATTCATCCTAGACTCCTCCCACACCCTAACTCTCTCCCAACATATTAAAGGGGAGGAATTATCCGCATCACTGTGCCGAAACACCTGACACCAAGAAACATTCTAGAAGTTAACATGATCTTCAGGAAACAGATGTGGCACACAATTCCAGTATTCCTAACAGCCATCAAATATAGATGTTAGTGGCCGTTTCCTCTGCCAGATGAGGTCTCCCAATAGTCCCCCAGACAATGTTCCAGTAGGAATGTTAGCAATCCAAGGCATAAGGGGGTGAAACCCAAGTTTATTCCCACTCCACAGCATACCTGGCAGGCCACAGTAAGGAATACCCTAGTGAAAGGAGTAAACTGTAGTCCTGTAGCTATGAAAAATGGTGCTGAAATAAACCTGGCACCATCACTTCACTTTATGATTGTGGTAACTTGGGTTCAGTGAATTTAAGCCATTTACCCAAAATCTAATAAATAGTGGGACAGACAGTAGGATTCAGCTGTGTCTATTTTTCAGTCTAGGGATCTCTTAATAGTTTACACAACCTGCCCTTCTTGGGGCAATAGCATTGCTATCATGTCCTTCAATGTAGCAATTCAGGGGAGTAATGGAGAAACATCACCGGTGTGGCTGAAAAAAGGAAAAGCCCCTGGCCTTAATGCCCATTAACACCATGCTATAATGAACAATTACTCAGTAAAAATGCTTTTCTTTCAAGGACCTGCAACTATAATTGCATTCATAATGAAAATAATTAAACTTATAAATGTCATCTGTTCAACATCTTTAGCTATAATTCTTATATTTTAGTCAATCCTTGATGATAAATTCCTGTAATCACCCACTGTTCATTAGAAGCAAAAGCAACCAGAGGCTGGGTGCAGTGGCTCATGCCTGTAATCCCAGCACTTTGGGAGGTGAAGACAGGGGGATCGCTTGAGGCCAGAAGTTCAAGACCAGCCCGGATGACATAGGGAGACCCTGTCTATACAAAGAATTTAAAAATTATCTGGGTATGATGACACATGCCTCTAATCCTGGCTACTCCAGAGGCTAAGGTAGGAGGATTGGTTGAGCCTAGAGGTCGAATCTGCTGTGATCGTGCCACTGCACTCCAGCCTGGGCGAGAGAGTGAGACCCCAACTCAAAAAAAAAAAAAAACTGGATGGAAAACTATTGCTTGATAAAACCAAGGTTCACTGAGAAAATGTGACTTTCTCAAAATCACACGCTTATCAGAGGCAGATGAGTAACAAAACCCTTTTCTCCTTTCTTCCAAAGATGTCACCTTTTGTGTATAAACACATATCAAACTTCATGCAGGCAACTACTGATGTGCTACAGAAAGTCCTGACACCATTTTGACCATCAGAAGCAAGCTGGCTGTCTCAAGACATCCTACTCAGCATGTGAGAATCTGTGCAGCAGCCAATGAGCTATGAGGAACGGGAAAAAATTAAACCTACTAATAGGTAGCATTGGAATAAAGTCCATTCCTTTATTAATATCCTTGATTTATATAATCTCTACATACCCAGTGCCTAGAGCTAGCAAAATTCCTATATGGCATCAGTAAATATTTGTTTAAAAAGCTAAGAGATTTCTTCATTCATTTAAAAAAGTTAAGTGAAAAAAAAAAGATCATGTTCTAGGGAATAGCCAGGCATCCAAGAATTTATATCAACTTTTCTTTTGGGAAATAAAAAGAGTACAACTAACAAATAATCTTGTATAGTTATTTATGACAGTGACACGTGGATAGCTGAGATCTATTCCTGGCTTATGCCTGCTTTAAGTTTCAGGATATAACTCACTTATGCTCTCGGAGCCTTAATATCCTGATCAGTAAAGTAAAGGATTTTTTGAGAAGACAATTTATGAAGTCCATTGGCCCTTTTTTTCTAAATGTATGGAATTGTGAGGCAAGGAAGATAAACTACAGCTCATATATTCTTAGAAATGTCCAAAGGATAAATATTCTTTGTCATGACCTATGGCCTTAAAAAATGAATCAAAGCCCAGCCTACATTTATAGAGCTAGTCAATTTGGGATTGTTTATTTCTACCTCCTATTAATATTTAATATCTACATTTGCTGGATACGAGGTTTTTCTGACCCTGATCCTTGCCAACCCTAATTATAAGAAAGAGGGGAGATTATGTAGGTGTAAAATGTCATTAAATAATGACATTCAAGGGTATGCGTTAACTTCACACTTCTTCAAATACAAAAGGCATTTAAACTTGAATCCTTCCACTCCAGTGACAATCTTTTTTAATTCTACAAACCTCCGATGAACAATATATTACCACCATGACCACTGCAGTTTTAATTTTGTTTTATATCTGCTTTTTTCCTAATGTCAGATCCAGAGCTTACACTCTGGTTGTTCTTCTAACTTATGAGCCTTAGGGATCAGAAAGGTGTTGGTCAGTCTCCATAGATCACTGCAATTGTCTAGCCAACTTTATGAGCTCTGGAGCCTCTCCTTGTACAAAGTCCTAGACTAGTGATAAATGACTTACATTTTTTTTTTTTTTTTTTTTTTTTGAGACGGAGTCTCGCTCTGTCGCCCAGGCTGGAGTGCAGTGGTGCAATCTCGGCTCACTGCAAGCTCCACCTCCCGGGTTCACGCCATTCTCCTGCCTCAGCCTCCCAAGTAGCTGGGACTACAGGCGCCCGCCACTACGCCCGGCTAATTTTTTGTATTTTTAGTAGAGACGGGGTTTCACCGTTTTTAGCCGGGATGGTCTCGATCTCCTGACCTCGTGATCCGCCCGCCTCGGCCTCCCAAAGTGCTGGGATTACAGGCGTGAGCCACCGCGCCCGGCCATCACTTACATTTTATCTGCTGAGTACTTTGGTTTTATTTTCTCAGTTCTAGCTTTACAGATTTTTTCTAAGTAGAATGTGTCACTTTTCTTCTTATAAGTCATTGTATTTCTGGTGCAATTTACTATAAGCTTAATGAGCAGAAGCAAGAGAGAAGCAGTGGTTGGATGTACAGCAAGCCTCAAATGAAGTTCCTATTCTGTTTTTGCAGCCTGCCTCCCTCAAGAAACATCACTGAATCATGAAATGCTGTTCTCTCTCATGTTCTTTTTAAATTTTCGTCTTCTATTAACTGCCTGGAGAATTTAGGTCATTGGAGATATTGAGGCTATATAGTGGTCTTTTTTTTCTTTTTAGAAATGCCTGGAGGAGAAATATTCTTTGTCTTGACCCTTTGTACATTGATTTCACATCTGACTGCAAACACACTATATCCTAAAATGTTATAATCTTAAGTATGACTTCCAGCTATTATAAATATTTCTCTTTTAAAAATAGTGTTGGTGATATTTTAATTTTTTTTCCAACCAGTTTATATTTTACCAAACGCTTTTCCAAAGGCTGGACATACAATGTAAACAAGAAGGTGGAAATGTTACCCAGAGATGTCTAGCTTGTTGCTGAACTACAAATTTATTATTTAGAGGAAAGTTTACACTAGACATGTTGTCCAGAGAGTTTAACAATTCTTAGAGAATTTGACCAGATCCAAACAACTACACCAGGGAATTTTTTTCCCTTAGAGGCAGAGATACTAAAAGAAGTTCAAGAGGTTAATGCCATTACGGGTAATTTCCCCTGCTCGATTCCAAGTAATGGTATGGCTACAAAAACCTTTGGGTAACTATTAACATCTGATGACTGAAAAAGAATGGCAATTCCTGACAACTTTTAGTTTATGATGCTTTTTCCCATTGAAGAAACAAAATCTTTAACAAAGCAGAATTACTTATCACAAAAGGACAATAATACATAATAATTTGTGGCTATTTTAATTCTTGGAGACAGATCATATTGAAAATTTACTGTATGTTTTTTCTCACTATACTTCACTGTCTACAGTAAATGGCAATCATGTTTAGCAATAAATATTATTTTTCCACATTGATCTGAATTCGCCAGTTATACATGTATTGGGGAGCCATCGGATACAAGACTCTTTTGGAGGAAATAGATTCAAAATGAAAATTATAGAATTCTAATTTTTCAGCGACTCAAAGTTTAGTGACACAAATAGATATTTTTATAATGTACATCATTTTAATATTAATTCATGCAGTGCCTTTATACTGTGTGCCAGGTGCTATATTAGGATCACCTCTTCTCTTAGGATTATCTCCTGCTTCAAGTACATACTCTTTGGACTGTGGAGCTAATCGTAGGGACAAACAAATCCATTTTAGCGAGTGACTAAAGGCTTCCGATAGAAGTTATCTAGCAAGGACTTTAGGCATGTGTAGGTCCTTCCTTCCCCATTCACCTAGCTTAAAATGTTTAAAAAGAGAGAGAGCTCTTAGTGAAAAAGCCTTGATTTGAGGGAGGGCAGAATGTATTTAGCTTGAAAGACGTCTGAAAATGCTCAGGGGTAAAGGCTTTTTGAGGACTAATCAAAAGTTGGTTGTTGTTGCCACATAGATTATGAAGCAGAGTTGGAGAGAGCAGGCAATGAGGCCTTGAATATCAGGCTAGGGGGTGATGGCATCGGTCTGATTGAAGAGCCTGCGAAAGAAAAGCAATAGGTGTGCTTCAACAATGAAAGCAATCAGGGCAGCAAGAGCCTGTGCAATGTCTTGCCCATGTGCTTTTTGTTTGTTTGTTTGTTTGTTTGTTTTAAGCTGGGGATCAGAATGCTGCTAAAACTCCAGCCTGGAGTGAAGCTAATGGCAGTCCTGCCAGAAAGACACACGCTGACCCTTCTGTTAAAAAAAAAAAAAAAAAAAAAAAAAAGACATCTAAATCAGCACAAAATATATTCTCACAGGAGTCCTTTTTAACCCAACATGTGCAAATCTAGATTCACCAAAAAGAAAAAGAGTGAGTGCCCCAAGTGACTGATTGATTGATTGAAGTTTAAAATGAGATTTCACTAAACAAAAAGAATCACAATAGACTCCTCTTAAACACTGAAGTATATCTAAGGACATGCATACTCTATTCAGAAAGGCGATCCAACGTCACTTTCACCATTTAACAGTTTTGAGAAAATGGACAAACCATTTAACTTCCCTGTCTGTCCCTTTAACGATAAAATGCAAGTAAGTAAAATCCCCAATATTTAATCAATGTTTATGAGGACTAAAGACGTGACAGCTACATTGTCAGTTTGGGTCTTCCAGAAAGCAGACACCAAGAAGTTAATTGGGGCTGATGCTCCTTAAAGAGAAAAGAGAGGGACCTGGGATATGTTGGGGGGGATCCTCCAGGCTGCAATGTGAAAGGGCAGAAGGAAGGGAGTCCGGAAGGAAGAGCCTCAATGGTGGTAGAGCTCTGGGGATATTTAGGCCAGCCCCACAGGGAGTCCCGGCAGGGGGATGGCCTGAGAGGAGAACAGAGTTGTGGAGAAATGAGCAGGGCCTAGGACCGCATTATGTTCAGTTACTGGCTGAGAGCTGACCAGGAAGGGCATGGCCTGGGCTGGAGCAGCCGGGTGGATTCTGAAGGAACTGAAGCTGGAGGCTAACAGCTAACTTCATTCTTCACGACAGGTTATGATTATTGTCATGATAATCAACAAAATTGGGATCAAAATCCCCAAGCCAAATTACATTTGAAAATTCAGAGGCATTTTGTTCCTAGAGTGACCTAGAAGTCAACTCCACATCTTGCTTAAATGCACATGTATATCTTCCTGCCAGTTGATTTTTAAATTTTATCACTTGATAAGTAAATTATGTAGGTTTCCAATTTTATCAGTTCTTTAAAAAATATTATTATACTATCTTCTCCATTAACTTTTCCCCGAGCTCTCCCCTACATATCTATAACACTTTTCTCCCTACTCCCTTACTTGGGTCATGTATCACTCCCTGTCTTACAATTGGCACTTATGGGTATATCTGTCCTTCTTGGCTATAAGTTATATAAAAGCAGAATCTGATCCAAAAAAAATCTGTGTTATCCTCACCAACCATTGCAGAGTGCTTGGCCCACAGTAGAAGCTCAATAAACATATGTTGAAAAAAATGATGGTTGTTATTTTTCCAGATATGTAATCTTACTCTGATTCTCTGCAGCAGTAAACCCATGTTAACCAGGTTCTGGTAAGGATATCCGTGTAGACAATATATAAGAAATTGATATAGCCATCCCTGAATAAAACATCTAGGCCTTTTGAGATATATGTTTTATATCTAGTACCTTGGACCAGAATTTTTTTCCTGAATTTAGGACTCATGATACTTCGTGAAAAATGGAAGATGAGTTGTTCTTAAGCCATAAAAGAAAATGAAGATTTCCCTTAGAGATTTCTCATTATGGAGAGTGAAATGTGGACCTGTTGTAATACTGCTGTGTTGTAATAAATAAATGACAAGCTCAACAGTTAAATGAAATATGATAGGGAAGGGGCTTAGTGTAAATTGGATATTACAGCTGGCTTCACTATCTTGGCACTTAGGCAGATTGGTCAGAAGTGAATGGTGCCCCACTTACATGAATCATTCACAAGTATTTTGCATCTAAACACAGATGTTTAGATGTGCCAGTAATGATCAAAACTCTCCCTTTGTGGAGCTCTCTTGTCCTTCTCTCCTCAAGTGAAGAGTTCCAATTCAAAGACAGAGAAAATACATTGTCCAACAAGACTTTTAACCTTCTTTTCTTTTCTTTTCTTTTTTTTTTTTTCTGAGATGGAGTCTCACTCTGTCACCTAGGCTGGAGTGCAGTGGTGCAATCTCAGCTCAGGGCAACCTCCATCTCCCGGGTTCGAGCGATTCTTCTGCCTCAGCCTCCTGAGTAGCTGGGATGACAGGCACACACCACTATACCCAGCTAATTTTTGTATTTTTAGTACAGACGGGGTTTCACCATGTTAGTGAGGCTGGTATCAAACTGCCGACCTCATGATCCGCCCGCCTCGGCCTCCCAAAGTGCTGGGATTGCAGGCGTGAGCCACCGCGCCCAGCCCAAGACTTCTAACCTTCAAACAGACTCCCACCATTGAATTTCTATCCAAGAAAGACAGTCATTCACTCCACAAGCAAGGCTCTTAATAAAATGTTTTCTTCCTAGGCTTTCATACTTCATATTCCTCTAATTAAGAATATTTGTGAATAGAGATTTCACCTCTATTTTGAACTAGAAACATAGAGATTCAAATGCATACCTCTTTCAAGTCTACTATCTTCTGTACAATTATTGGGAAGGAAATAGACACAGTTGGAAAAAGTTTGAACAAGTGAGGGGAAATGTTTCTCTCATCTCTCTAAAGCAAAGTGTTAGCTTTCAGAATTTTTAGAGCTCATCAGAAAAGAAGCCAGTGATGAACTGTGAAGCAGGAAAAGCTTTTATTGCCATCTTAAAGATCATTTAGTTATGCTGTTATTCTTCACAGAGAAGAGAAAGGGTTGAGCTGACACAAATTCTTTAATGCAGACATTATCCCAGAGATTAGATCTTGTAACACCTTGTGGTTTAAGTACATCCTAATGACAGTGAAACTGCATTTTGTAATATTTTTGAATAATAGGGGGAAAAATAAATTCTCAAGTCCTTGATTCTGGTGTTGTAATGAAATGTCACACAGAGAAATAGCCATTTCATTAAACGAGGAGTTGCACAAGCAAGATTATAATTCATTATCTATTATCAGAATATACCAAACATGCTTTAGAGTGACATTATAATATTTCCTAATCTAATAACTATCATTTCTTTTTATTAAAATTTTAATAGTCAACTTCCTCTTCTAAGCAAATAAATATCTATAATTAGAAATGTGAGGGGGAGGAGCCAAGATGGCCGAATAGGAATAGCTCCGGTCTACAGCTCCCCGCGTGAGCGATGCAGAAGACGGTGATTTCTGCATTTCCATCTGAGGTACCGGGTTCATCTCACTAGGGAGTGCCAGACAGTGGGCACAGGTCAGTGGGTGCGCGCACCGTGTACGAGCCAAAGTAGGGCGAGGCATTGCCTCACTTGGGAAGTGCAAGGGGTCAGGGAGTTCCCTTTCCGAGGCAAAGAAAGGGGTGAGGGACGGCACCTGGAAAATCGGGTCACTCCCACCCGAATATTGCGCTTTTCCGACTGGCTTAAAAAACGGCGCACCACAAGATTATATCCCGCACCTGGCTAGGAGGGTCCTACGCCCACGGAGTCTCGCTGATTGCTAGCACAGCAGTCTGAGATCAAACTGCAAGGCGGCAGCAAGGCTGGGAAAGGGGCGCCCGCCATTGCCCAGGCTTGATTAGGTAAACAAAGCAGCCTGGAAGCTCCAACTGGGTGGAGCCCACCACAGCTCAAGGAGGCCTGCCTGCCTCTGTAGGCTCCACCTCTGGGGGGCAGGGCACAGACAAACAAAAAGACAGCAGTAAACTCTGCAGACTTAAATGTCCCTGTCTGACAGCTTAGAAGAGAGCAGTGGTTCTCCCAGCACGCAGCTGGAGATCTGAGAACGGGCAGACTGCCTCCTCAAGTGGGTCCCTGACCCCTGAGCCCCGAGCAGCCTAACTGGAAGGCACCCCCCAGCAGGGGCACACTGACACCTCACACGGCAGGGTATTCCAACAGACCTGCAGCTGAGGGTCCTGTCTGTTAGAAGGAAAACTAACAAACAGAAAGGACATCCACACCAAAAACCCATCTGTACATCACCATCATCAAAGACCAAAAGTAGATAAAACCACAAAGATGGGGAAAAAAACAGAACAGAAAAACTGGATACTCTAAACAGCAGAGCGCCTCTCCTCCTCCAAAGGAACGCAGTTCCTCACCAGCAACGGAACAAAGCTGGATGGAGAATGACTTTGACGAGCTGAGAGAAGAAGGCTTCAGACGATCAAATTACTCTGAGCTATGGGAAGACATTCAAACCAAAGGCAAAGAAGTTGAAAACTTTGAAAAAAATTTAGAAGAATGTATAACTAGAATAACCAATACAGAGAAGTGCTTAAAGGAGCTGATGGAGCTGAAAACCAAGGCTCGAGAACTACGTGAAGAATGCAGAAGCCTCAGGAGCCGATGCAATCAACTGGAAGAAAGGGTATCAGCAATGGAAGATGAAATGAATGAAATGAAGCGAGAAGGGAAGTTTAGAGAAAAAAGAATAAAAAGAAATGAGCAAAGCCTCCAAGAAATATGGGACTATGTGAAAAGACCAAATCTACGTCTGATTGGTGTACCTGAAAGTGATGGGGAGAATGGAACCAAGTTGGAAAACACTCTGCAGGATATTATCCAGGAGAACTTCCCCAATCTAGCAAGGCAGGCCAACGTTCAAATTCAGGAAATACAGAGAACGCCACAAAGATACTCCTCGAGAAGAGCAACTCCAAGACACATAATTGTCAGATTCACCAAAGTTGAAATGAAGGAAAAAATGTTAAGGGCAGCCAGAGAGAAAGGTCGGGTTACCCTCAAAGGGAAGCCCATCAGACTAACAGCGGATCTCTCGGCAGAAACCCTACAAGCCAGAAGAGAGTGGGGGCCAATATTCAACATTCTTAAAGAAAAGAATTTTCAACCCAGAATTTCATATCCAGCCAAACTAAGCTTCATAAGTGAAGGAGAAATAAAATACTTTACAGACAAGCAAATGCTGAGAGATTTTGTCACCACCAGGCCTGCCCTAAAAGAGCTCCTGAAGGAAGTGCTAAACATGGAAAGGAACAACCGGTACCAGCCGCTGCAAAATCATGCCAAAATGTAAAGACCATCGAGACTAGGAAGAAACTGCATCAACTAACGAGCAAAATAACCAGCTAACATCATAATGACAGGATCAAATTCACACATAACAATATTAACTTTAAATGTAAATGGACTAAATGCTCCAATTAAAAGACACAGACTGGCAAATTGGATAAAGAGTCAAGACCCATCAGTGTGCTGTATTCAGGAAACCCATCTCACGTGCAGAGACACACATAGGCTCAAAATAAAAGGATGGAGGAAGATCTACCAAGCCAATGGAAAACAAAAAAAGGCAGTGGTTGCAATCCTAGTCTCTGATAAAACAGACTTTAAACCAACAAAGATCAAAAGAGACAAAGAAGGCCATTACATAATGGTAAAAGGATCAATTCAACAAGAAGAGCTAACTATCCTAAATATATATGCACCCAATACAGGAGCACCAAGATTCATAAAGCAAGTCCTGAGTGACCTACAAAGAGACTTAGACTCCCACACATTAATAATGGGAGGCTTTAACACCCCACTGTCAACATTAGACAGATCCACGAGACAGAAAGTCAACAAGGATACCCAGGAATTGAACTCAGCTCTGCACCAAGCAGACCTAATAGACATCTACAGAACTCTCCACCCCAAAGCAACAGAATATACATTTTTTTCAGCAACATACCACACCTATTCCAAAATTGACCACATACTTGGAAGTAAAGCTCTCCTCAGCAAATGTAAAAGAACAGAAATTATAACAAACTATCTCTCAGACCACAGTGCAATCAAACTAGAACTCAGGATTAAGAATCTCACTCAAAACCGCTCAACTACATGGAAACTGAACAACCTGCTCCTGAATGACTACTGGGTACATAACGAAATGAAGGCAGAAATAAAGATGTTCTTTGAAACCAATGAGAACAAAGACACAACATACCAGAATCTCTGGGACGCATTCAAAGCAGTGTGTAGAGGGAGATTTATAGCACTAAATGCCCACAAGAGAAAGCAGGAAAGATCCAAAATTGACACCCTAACTCACAATTAAAAGAACTAGAAAAGCAAGAGCAAACACATTCAAAAGCTAGCAGAAGGCAAGAAATAACTAAAATTAGAGCAGAACTGAAGGAAATAGAGACACAAAAAACCCTTCAAAAAATTAATGAATCCAGGAGCTGGTTTTTTGAAAGGATCAACAAAATTGATAGACCACTAGCAAGACTAATAAAGAAAAAGAAAAGAATCAAATAGGCGCAATAAAAAATGATAAAGGGGATATCACCACCGATCCCACAGAAATACAAACTACCATCAGAGAATACTACAAACACCTCTATGCAAATAAACTAGAAAATCTAGAAGAAATGGATAACTTCCTCGACACATACACTCTCCCAAGACTAAACCAGGAAGAAGTTGAATCTCTGAATAGACCAATAACAGGAGCTGAAATTGTGGCAATAATCAATAGCTTACCAACCAAAAAGAGTCCAGGACCAGATGGATTCACAGCCGAATTCTACCAGAGGTACAAGGAGGAACTGGTACCATTCCTTCTGAAACTATTCCAATCAATAGAAAAAGAGGGAATTCTCCCTAACTCATTTTATGAGGCCAGCATCATTCCAATTCCAAAGCCGGGCAGAGACACAACCAAAAAAGAGAATTTTAGACCAATATCCTTGATGAACATTGATGCAAAAATTCTCAATAAAATACTGGCAAAACGAATCCAGCAGCACATCAAAAAGCTTATCCACCATGATCAAGTGGGCTTCATCCCTGGGATGCAAGGCTGGTTTAATACATGCAAATCAATAAATGTAATCCAGCATATAAACAGAGCCAAAGACAAAAACCATATGATTATCTCAATAGATGCAGAAAAAGCCTTTGACAAAATTCAACAACCCTTCATGCTAAAAACTCTCAATAAATTAGGTATTGATGGGACGTATTTCAAAATAATAAGAGCTATCTATGACAAACCCATAGCCAATATCATACTGAATGGGCAAAAACTGGAAGCATTCCCTTTGAAAACTGGCACAAGACAGGGATGCCCTGTCTCACCACTCCTATTCAACATAGTGTTGGAAGTTCTGGCCAGGGCAATTAGGCAGGAGAAGGAAATAAAGGGTATACAATTAGGAAAAGAGGAAGTCAAATTGTCCCTGTTTGCAGACGACATGATTGTATATCTAGAAAACCCCATTGTCTCAGCCCAAAATCTCCTTAAGCTGATAAGCAACTTCAGCAAAGTCTCAGGATACAAAATCAATGTACAAAAATCACAAGCATTCTTATACACCACTAACAGACAAACAGAGAGCCAAATCATGGCGAACTCCCATTCACAATTGCTTCAAAGAGAATAAAATACCTAGGAATCCAACTTACAAGGGTCGTGAAGGACCTCTTCAAGGAGAACTACAAACCACTGCTCAAGGAAATAAAAGAGGATACAAACAAATGGAAGAACATTCCATGCTCATGGGTAGGAAGAATCAATATCGTGAAAATGGCCATACTGCCCAAGGTAATTTACAGATTCAATGCCATCCCCATCAAGCTACCAATGCCTTTCTTCACAGAATTGGAAAAAACTACTTTAAAGTTCATATGGAACCAGAAAAGAGCCCGCATCGCCAAGTCAATCCTAAGCCAAAAGAACAAAGCTGGAGGCATCACACTACCTGACTTCAAACTATCCTACAAGGCTACAGTAACCAAAACAGCATGGTACTGGTACCAAAACAGAGATATAGATCAATGGAACAGAACAGAGCCCTCAGAAATAATGCCACATATCTACAACTATCTGATCTTTGACAAACCTGAGAAAAACAAGAAATGGGGAAAGGATTCCCTATTTAACAAATGGTGCTGGGAAAACTGGCTAGCCATATGTAGAAAGCTGAAACTGGATCCCTTCCTTACACCTTATACAAAAATCAATTCAAGATGGATTAAAGACTTAAACGTTAGACCTAAAATCATAAAAACCCTAGAAGAAAACCTAGGCATTACCATTCAGGACATAGGCATGGGCAAGGACTTCATGTCCAAAACACCAAAAGCAATGGCAACAAAAGCCAAAATTGACAAATGGGATCTAATTAAACTAAAGAGCTTCTGCACAGCAAAAGAAACTACCATCAGAGTGAACAGGCAACCTACAAAATGGGAGAAAATTTTTGCGACCTACTCATCTGACAAAGGGCTAATATCCAGAATCTACAATGAACTCAAACAAATTTACAAGAAAAAAACAAACAACCCCATCAAAAAGTGGGCGAAGGACATGAACAGACACTTCTCAAAAGAAGACATTTATGCAGCCAAAAAACACATGAAAAAATGCTCATCATCACTGGCCATCAAAGAAATGCAAATCAAAACCACAATGAGATACCATCTCACACCAGTTAGAATGGCAATCATTAAAAAGTCAGGAAACAACAGGTGCTGGAGAGGATGTGGAGAAATAGGAACACTTTTACACTGTTGGTGGGACTGGAAACTAGTTCAACCATTGTGGAAGTCAGTGTGGCGATTCCTCAGGGATCTAGAACTGGAAATACCATTTGACCCAGCCATCCCATTACTGGGTATATACCCAAAGGACTATAAATCATGCTGCTATAAAGACACATGCACACGTATGTTTATTGCGGCATTATTCACAATACCAAAGACTTGGAACCAACCCAAATGTCCAACAATGATAGACTGGATTAAGAAAATGTGGCACATATACACCATGGAATACTATGCAGCCATAAAAAATGATGAGTTCATGTCCTTTGTAGGGACATGGATGAAATTGGAAATCATCATTCTCAGTAAACTATCACAAGAACAAAAAACCAAACACTGCATATTCTCACTCATAGGTGGGAATTGAACAATGAGATCACATGGACACAGGAAGGGGAATATCACACTCTGGGGACTGTTGTGGGGTGGGGGGAAGGGGGAGGGATAGCATTGGGAGATATACCTAATGCTAGATGACGAGTTAGTGGCTGCAGCGCACCAGCATGGGACATGTATACATATGTAACTAACCTGCAGAATGTGCACATGTACCCTAAAACTTAAAGTATAATAAAAAATAAATAAAAAATAAAAATAAAAATAAAGATATAAACTTTATTTCATCTAAAAAAAAAAAAAAAAGAAATGTGATAAAATTCGAGACTATTTGGATGCCCTAGATGTAAAGAGCTTTTGGTTGTGATCTTAAAAAGTGAACGGTAGCATCGTCTGTGAAAGTGTAGGGGGCTTGAAACAGGATATCTGGGTTGAAATCTGGGCTCTACCAGTCACTAGCTGCATAATTTTGATGCTGAGAGGTAGTAAATAAGTCTCTCAAAAAAATAGCTGCAGTTCTTCTTTATTCAAGGATTATGGTTAGGTTTAGATAAATATCAACATGCCTGATACAAAATAAATATTTCATCCAATGGGTGTCTTGTCTTCTCCAAGTACTTTTCTTATAATGAGCTTTATAGTTAAGATCAGAAAATTTGTCATATCATCAAAAAACTCAGTTCAATTCAATCTATGATTTTCCATGGAAGATACTGATTCTCACAAAGGGGAAATAAAATTGTTGAATGTGACATCTGTGAGTGGCCAAATGAGCATTAGAAAACAGACATCACATCACCATGTTAGGGCTCCCATAAGCTCCACCTTTCAAATTATCCTTGAGGACTGAAAGTCAACAAAGAGAAGGGGCAACTTTTCAGGCAGAGAATAGGCAAAGAATTACGTCCAAGGGAGAGTCTCTGCCTCTCCATGCCTGTAACTGTGGAATAGATACAGTTCAATGACAAGACTGATACTTTTGAAAAGTATCATTTATGTATATTTTAAATTTTGTTTGATTATGCTCAGTGGAACCCTGTGACCAGGTGGAAATCTTGTGTAATGCCAACAACTTGATCAACTTGACAATGCAGTCATAAGATGTTTGGAGGAGGAAATACTAGAGCCGTCATTACATAGTAAAATTGAGATACAACATAATTAAGTGAACTAATTTCAAGGCTAGAAATAAAACTCAGTTCTTCCATGTCTAAATTTGAGGATTCACCTCCCAGATCTCACCCTCTAATTTTCACAGGCCCACATCTAGATAGACATTAATTAACAGAAATTTGAAAAGTATGGCAATATCCTTAAAGAGTATTTTACGCGTATTTTCTCTATTATCCTCAGACATATTTGTTCTCCTGTTTCTGTTTGGTAGATTAAAAGCCATTGCTAAGTGTTTATAGCCTTTGCCTATATTTTCCCACAACCAAGGCAAGGCTTTTCTGGACTTATTAACTGGAATATCTGTTAGGTCAGGTAAGTTTTGATTTCATTGGCAAATAAATAGCCGTCAAATTTTACATAGATAAAGGGCAACAGTTTGAAATAATACTTATTGAGGATTCAGTGAAGAATATGATAACAACCCATTGCACTCAGTAGTCTATAATCCCCACCAATAATTCAGCCAGACCAGTAAACTGTTACATATTGAGCTAGACTTTCTTACTCCTCCATCCCCACCCCCTCCTACAGAAAGGAACAACAGTGTCTTACATTGAATTTTAATTTAATATGGTACCATCAGCCTATATAGAAGAATGCTACAGGGAGCTGCTTTATGGAACTCACCATGGTTACTGCAAAGATGTTGTGAATATTGTTGATAATGCTATGCATTATATTATATAGTGTCTTTCCTGAGCCCTCTTGGGAGAATACCCTACCTCATTTGACCGTCTCTTCCTCAATAGTTTGTTTTGATATTCTGAATATCATGAATGTCATAGCTGATTAAATTTTTTCAACATGGGTTGCTGAAAATTTTAGAAATAGTAGCAAGTATATAAAACTTTCTGAAAGTATACTTCTATTTTGCCCTATTTCTGGTTCTCCATCAGGTTGCTGCTCTTGTTATTTTTCTACTTTCTCACCTATTTCTAATTACGTGCTTTGATGTATTTTAATATCCTCATAAGCTATCTTAAATCCCTTTTTGGGACAAAGTGAGGAATAAATAAATACAACTCTGAGCTATTTCCTATGTTCAGAATAAGATAGGAGAGTGAATATTCATAATATAAAATTAAGTTTTCTTTAAATAGAGTCTGTGTCATATAAATTGGGCTTTTTACCTCTCTGTTGGTTTACAAACCACCTTCCTTAGTAGCTTAGTAAGGGCATTAATCTACATTTTTTCTCATGACTATCCCAGTGCTGATACAGTAGTAGGTATTTTATCTCTTTCTACTTAGAATCAACATATCTCTGAAGATTGAATGATCTTTCTAAAGCATCACAAATTCATCTACAGAGAAAATTAGCACAGTCTTGGATCACAAGTGAAATACTAATAATGTCACTATTTTTATTGTCCACATACTTTTAACTGGGCCAAGATGAAGAAGGATATAGAAAAAAATGGAGAAGTATTTAAGGATGGAAAAATGGTTTAGCTAATTAGATTGTGTGTGTATGTGTGTGTATTGGGGTGGAGAGGATAGAACCAGCAAGGCTAGAAATGATCAAAACTATCTTTAGAGAGTAGAGTAGGTGGGGCTTGAAATGGCAAGTTGGGAAGAAAGAAAAGTAAGAACAGTAAAGTAAAAAGAAATAGTTAAAGAAAAAGAGATGGAAAGCAATGGGACTGACTTCCTTCCTTCCTTCCTTCCTTCTTTCCTTCCAAATAATGAAAACAGAACTCAGAAATTCCTTTTTTTTTTTTTTTTTTGAGACAGATCTCACTCTGTCACCTGGGCCTCAGTGCAGTGGCACAATCTTGGCTCACTGTAACCTACACCTCTCGGGTTCAAGAGATTCTCCTGCTTCAGCCTCTTGAGTAGCTGGGATTACAGATGCCTGCCACCACACCTAGCTAATTTTTGTATTTTTAGTAAAGATGGGGTTTCACTATGTTGGTTAGGCTGGTCTTGAACTCCTGACCTCAGGTGATCTGTCTGCCTCAGCCTCCCAAAGTCCTGGAATTACAGGCATGAGCCACTGTGCCTAGTTCAAGAAATTCTGAATAAAATTATTCTCTGAGGTTTTACTTCACTTGACCAGGATTGACAATCAATGTGAATAACTCTACTTTCCATGATTTCATGTATTGCTTTTTATTAAAAGGTTTTCTATGGTTTTTGTACATTAAAATATTTTTTGCAGTTACACTATCTTGGCACACAGATCATTGCTCATACATCTATTATAAAAGTAAAATCGTCACCTCTGTGTATCTGCTTATATTTTATCTATTAGATTCCGAATGTCCTGAGGACAGACCATTTCCTCATTTATACTTATGTTCCAACATACTACTTAGATCAAGCTAAGTGTCTGTTGAATACCATAATTTACTCTAAATCGACCCTGTTTACAAAGGTTATAACTGGGAAAAAAACACTCAGGCAATTAAACAACTAAGGTTGAAAAGAATACTAAAATGGATAGTAGTGAATAAGTCTATAAGAGTATCTCAAACTAAGAGAACTCGGTGGGATAAAATCATACAGGAGGCCCCCTGGAAGAGACATGATATGTACTGGGAAGAGAAAACATTTAGAGAAAAGGGAACAGCCTTCGCCAGCATGAAGAATACATTTTGATCAGTGCACTGCTGAATCAAAATGATGCAGACTTTTATCATTATAAAACCTACTTAACAACTCACTGAAATTAAGAGTGTTTCTAAATAACATTCTTCATGTTCCAGGCCCCGTGCTGGCCATTAAAAACACACACCAACAAGAGGGACTGAAGCAGAGCTTACAAGTTAGTGTCATGTATGAAGAAGCAACCAAACAATGAAAATACAGCATGAAAGCTACGGTGAAGCAAGTATAATGTTGCCTAGCAGTATCTGCAAAAGGTCCTAAACTGGAGACAAGAACAGGTGTCTCTGAGTAACTCACTGTTTAGTGGAAACCTGTAAATACAGGTCAACATGTACAGCAGACATCACATATAAGGATCAACATGCAAGGAGATATCAATAGAGGCAAAGAGAACTCATTTCACCCAAGCAGCCCACAGTATAGGGGACAAAAGTTTAAGCGTGTGGCTATGATATGGTGTGGTACTGATCACAGAAGTATGCCAGGGATGTGCTATAGTAGCACAAAACAGAGGTGGTAAAGCAGTATGTAGGTTGGGGGTAGTGATAGGGAGAAAAGGCTTCCAGGCTGGAAAAAGAGAAGGAAAACAGAAGACCAGCAAACAATGAAGCTGAAAATGTAGGAACAACCAGAACAAAAAGGACTTTATAAGCTTTATAAAGGAGTTTGAAATTTATCCTAAGAACAATGGTGAACAATTGAAAGACTGTGAGCAAAAGAGTAATATAGAAAAAATAAAATTAAAATAAAGTAAAACAACAACAGAGTCAAGGACAGAAGAATTTGAATAGATTAGATTATCCAGAATAAAGTTCTATGAAATTAGGAGAGTGAAATTTGATTTTGAAAGACTTTGAGAAACAAACAATTTTTGGATCTCTAACCGAAAGACTCCAGAGAGCTATGACTTGTTCACTAGCAAAGACAGGCTAGTGTATGCTTCAGGAACAATTTACCCCCTAAATCTGAGGGATTCAACAAAACAGATTTTATTTCCATTTGTCTATCACATGTTGTCATGTACTGTTCAAGGTCATTCAGGGACCAGGCTCTCCATTGGCTAAAAAAGAAACCAACAGAGGGTAGCATACTCTAACCCCTCCTCCGTGCTTCCATTGAAGTTCCCTATTTTGCTCTCACCAATAGCCCATCATCAAGAACTAATGTGGACCTGCCTTAATGCAAAGGATCTGATAGATTTGGGGGCGCATATGAAATATTAGCTGAGAACAACTTTCCTTGTTGCACCATGCAACGAAGACATCAAGAATTAGCCTTGGGTACAAGAAAGGGTGGTGGGTGGGAGAGAAATCGTAAGAAGATTGATTAGAAGCAAGACACTATCCAGAAAAAAATGTGCAGCAATGAGTGAAAGATGGAAAGATAGTGCATCTAGGAAGGAACATAAGAAAAATGAATCATGATGCAGACTTTTATCAGCATAAAACCTACTAAACAATTCACTGAAATTAAGAGGGTTGCTAAATAAGCAGGGTTTTAATACACTACGCCTTTATTTCTTTTTCAATGCAGCTCTCTTAGAGATACAGATTTTTCTTCCACGAATCAAATGCCCATTTCCTGAAACAACTAAATGTCAAAACAGAAAGCTTCATATTAATGGCATGAAGAGAGAGCACTGAATGAGTAGATCAGAGTGCAGCAACCTGAAGCATATCAGAAATGAGAGTTTGAGAATCAAGCTTCTGAGAAGAGTGCATCATTTGCAATGCACTAAAAGCTTTTTGCTCTGTGGGAAACAGTTATTGGAGAGGGCAGTCTGAAAATGTACTGTTAGCAGGTTTGGGAGTTGCAGTTTTTGAAAGGGGGATTTATTCTGGTAGATTTTACAGTTTATCCATTTTTGGTGGTGGTGATGCATGAGTCACAAGGGTAATAAACTTCAAATAGGTTGAAGTAAAGTTAAGTACTTCCCAGTATCTTCTATTAATTATCTGTGAAAGAGAAGAAGGAAAATTAATGCAGAGACATAAGCTGGTCTTTGAACAAAGAGGGATATGTTTTATTATGATGGTTTCAGCCACAGTCCTTTTCAAAATGTGCGTAAGGATAAAAAAATACTTAATATAAGCAGATGAACATTATAAACAAAGCAATGTGATCAGTAACATTAATTATATATATTATATATTAATGTTATATATACACACACGAAGAATATATATAATATATATTCTATATTGATGTTTTATTTATATCTATCTATATAGATATATAGATATAAACACACACACACACACACACACTAAGAATGAAGGGTGGCATGTTAACATGTATATAATAGGACCCAGTGTAAGATCCTTAAAAGTATCTAGCCAACCATAAACACTAAGCTGGCTTATCTAAATAGGAGTATTTACATTTTGCTAACAGCTAAAAAATACATTTGTTTCCCATATTTTAAAAAGAAATACAACATCCTAGTACTTAAGCAAGTGTTCTTAATTTAAATATATTTATAAAAAGAAAACTGGGGATTAGAAAACCATCAGAATATTCGTTGCAGCATTATTTGAAACAATGAAATATGAGAATAACTGAAGAGCATATTAACTGGGAATTGATAAATATAATGTAATGTATTCATATGATAGAATACTAGGCAGCAGCTAAATACACTGAATAGACCTATATCTATCACCAATATTAGCCTGCATAGGAGATACCGATAGAGGCAAAAAGAACTCATTTCACCCAAGCAGCTCATAGTATAAGAGACAAAAGATTAAGTATGTGGCTATGATACAGTGTGGCATGGATCACAGAAATATGCAAGGGATGTGCTTATGGTAGCACAACAAGGGAAAGGTACAGAAAAAATATTATAGAAATACAGTAATGTCATGCTCAGGGTCAGGTTTCAGACCATGCTAAGGTTTGAGGGAGTGGGTGGATGAGCAGAAAGAACACTCGGGAGGGTGGGGGGTGCGGCGGGTAGGCAGGTGAAAGATTATTTTATTCAGCAGCAGCTCTCATCAGCAGCTTTCTCACACTGTCCATCCTGTCTTGGCTGCATAGTCTGATGGCTCCCACACACACGGCTGCGCAGCTGGCTCTCCCTTGCCTTCAGGGTCAGTAGCCTAACTCTTTCTCTCTTTGGGCACAAGCGAGCCAAGCTGTATCCTGCACTCTCTGCCCCCCAACCCCTTGTTTGTTTGCAAAGATGGACAGCTCTGACTCTCTCTCTCTCTCTCTCTTTCTCTGGGCACCAATGTGCCTGTACAGTGTAGGCAGGGCAATTATACCTTTTACAGACAATAGAGGCTTAGAACCAAGGGATGGCCTTTCCACGTTATGGCTACATGCTATGATAACAAGTGGAGTTACACGCCTGAGCTCCAAACTTGCTGAGTCACTCTGGATGTTTACCTTGACCTATCCTTGGCCAAAGCGCAGCCATGTTCTTTACAAGTAAAAAGATGATAATTAGATAGGTAAAATAGTTCATAGTCCAGAAAGTACTTTATAAAACATTTTTTAAATGCACGAGTCTAAAGATATGTTGTTGGATACAAAAAAACCCCGAAGAAACAATAAAAACCCATAAAAATTAGAAGAAAGCATTCACAGTACTTAGTACATATGATTTTAAAGAAAAGAAAAAAAAATCTATATTATCATTCCTGTTTTGTCTCTTTAAAGTTGCCAGAAACTCATCTGGAACAACCCAGTTCTGTAGGAGATACACACACACACACATACACACACACAAAGTTTGAAGTAGAAGTACCCATAGATGTTCTAGTTAAGATTCCAAGTAGGAAGACAGAAATAACATGGAAATGGATTGCAGGAAAGAGGTCTGCTTTGGAAATATTTGAGAGTCGTGTTTTAAGATCATCATGGAATTTGAGTGGATGGAATTTTCCTCTGGAGAGAGTGTGTACAGGAAGCAAAGGTGCTGGACATAGGGAAAAGATGGGAATTCCTCCTAGGTAAGTAGGTGAGAGAGGAATCTAAGAATAAAGCCTAAAAATGCACTGTTAGAGGCACAAATACAACCATAAGAGAGCAGCGTGTCAAAGAAGCACAAGTCACAAAGTGTTAAGCAGGCGAGAGAAATCAAAGTCAAAGACCATGAGGAGTTCAGCTAAAATAAAAACTAATATTATTCACTAAACTATACCAAGAGAAATCATCAATGCATTAGTGAGGGAAGTTTCTGGGCAACAATGAATATGTAGGAAGTAAGAATACAGGAAGCTGAGGCATAGCTGGGCAAGGTAGGGTAGGCAGTGAATTGTAAACTCCTTTTAAGTAGATTCTATGCAAGAAAAGTAGAGAGATAAGATGGGCTTGACTACACTTTAAGGGGAAATCCTTACATAGTTGAAGTTACATTTGTATAATGCTTGCTACTAAATGTAAGCAAGAGTTGATGATTGAATTGTAAATAAGAATGCCTTTCTTAATATTAGAAGTAGCTAGAGAAAAGTCTAACTAAAATACTCAGTTATAGTAAATATATTCTCTTAAATTAATGTGCAAAGCTTTTTGCACTTTAATCTAAACCTTCTACATAATTTCACCTGCAGGAAGAGAATAGACTCCACCTAAAGTTGGCATTTATTTTTATCAATCACAATCTGCAATTACTATACACAAATAAATTTTTTTGTTTCTTTGTTTGCTTCAGGAAATACACAGCAATGCAAACAGAGATATGAAAGAAGGTGATAACAATTGAAGAGACAAGGAGGTGATTTACTTTTTTAGTCCTAAAGTCAAATAGTCAATCTATTCAGAATGTACCTTGGAGGGAAGAAAACAGTTCTAAGGCATCAGATAATCCGAGATTCATTTGAATAATTTAGCTGCTTAGTATTCAAAATTATTGATTTTCAAAAGAAGATCAAGAAGAAAATCTGTCTATGTATGCATGTCTGTGTGCATCTACCTCTAGGTCTTTGTCTGTGTTTATATATATATATTTTTTATAGCCAAACAAACTGCAGCCGAATGTCGCTGGTCAACCTATACCACAGCTTTAGTGTTTTCATCATTTACTAACACCTAATTGGCTCCTGGATTCACATATGTTAAAAATGAAAAAAGTATGAAAGTGACATGATACTTTAGGGGACAAATATTAAAATGTGTGACTGAGTATTGGTGCAGGGCATTATACTAGCTATAGGAACAGAGTGTAGCTACACAGTTAAAGGCCCAATATCTGGATAAGGTCAGCCTTAGATTTAGACCCTGCCTGACAGTTACTCTCTGTGAGATGATGGTAACAAAGATTCTTCGCTTGGCCAAACTTCAGTCAAAACCTTAGATCGAATCTTCACCTAGGCTCATCTGTGCATTTCCTTGTAAAATCCAGTTTAGATAAAGAGCCCTGACAAATCATTTTAGCAAGAACTCCTCACCTTGGGTATCTGACCACCCTTGATATCTGATCAGGTGCCTCATCCTTCACCACCCCTCAGATGATGTCTGATCACCCTGGCTTGTCTTCAGCTAGAATCCTGTTAGGTTGGTTTAGCCAGAATCCCCCTTAGCTCTGATATTTCCTTTTAGTCATTTTCCAATTACTGACCCTCACCCTGCTCCTTGGCTATACATTTCTACTTGCCCATGCTATGTTTGGAGTTGAGCCCAATTGCTCCCCCACTGGAAAAACCCATTACCATGGTCCCATGTGTACCACGATGGGGCTGAATAAGGTTTTTCTTTACTGTGCTTTCACAAGCATCATTGAATAATTCCTTAATGGTGGGTAAATCCTTCACACCATAGCTCCATGGAAGACATTGCTAATATCCTCATTATACATATGAGGATACATCTATAAAAGGTAATACAGTAAAAATTAATATTGGTGTTTTTTATCATTAGTGTTTTTGTGGTGATGATTCATGTACAGGTTTTAACTGGCATCTAGAGCCCAGTACATGTGATGATATAAAGGTTGAATTAGAACTAATTTATTGGAGTTAGACATATTGTTTTATAAATATTTTAAATTGTAAATGCTTACCATGTACTACAATGGTTTCCCAATTTCTTCAAGAAAAAGTACAAATTGGCATATAATTCCCTGTAGGCTCTGGCTATACCTATCTTCCTAATCACCTCTATTATTACCTTTTATATGTGTAATATATGTAAACTTTTTTTTTTTTTTTTTTTTTTTTGAGATGGAGTCTCACCCTGTCGCCCAGGCTGGAGTGTAATGGTGTGATCTCGGCTCACTGCAACCTCCGCCTGCTGGGTTCAAGCAATTCTGCCTCAGCCTCTCGAGTAGCTGGGATTACAGGTGCCCACCATCACACCGAGCTAATTTTTGTATTTTTAGTAAAGACGGAATTTCACTATGTTGCCCAGGCTGGTCTCAAACTCCTGACCTCGTGAAGCCCGCCTTGGTCTCCCAAAGTGCCGGGATTACAGGCGTGAGCCACTGTGCCCGGCCATATGTAGACATTTATGAGACTACAAGGAAACAGTAAAAATGAAGTATAATGTTCCCCACTCCACATTTGCCTCTGCCTGGATTCTCTGCCTTAGAACCAATGTGTGCACTTCCTAAGAGTCATTCAGGCCTGCCCGCCAACTGGCCTTTGCCAATTGTGCTACTATTGTGCTAGAGGTGACCAGTAATACCTCATACTCTTTCCCTGGCCCCAAAGTCAAAGCCATTGTTTCGTCTCTTGAAAGTTGCAGTTTTCTCAGCCTCTTTTGAGGACTCTGGATTTGGGAAGGCTGTCAATGCCTAGCAATGGCCAATCTAGTGCCCTGGGCAGTCACAACTATACCCATGAAGGCTCTGCATCTGCCCAGAGGTGCTAGATAACATAACCCAGAAGTGCGGTGGACTTGACCCATAAAGCAAGCTTTGCTCAGTAAGAGAGCAGAGATGAGAATGGGAGGTGTAGAAGTTCCATGTAGCTCCCACCTACCTCCAACCTCACTAAGTGACCTACTGGGTTTTCTTGTTAAGCTACACACCCCTCTGCATTTTCTTCCTGACTTCTTTTTGCTTACTTCCCTTTCTCCCTCATTCATGTTTTCCAGGGGTAAAGTTTTAGGTTTGCTTCAAGTTCTTTTTTTCTAGAGACTATGGACTAAGACATCAACTCATTTACCATGTGTTAACTTTGATATCACCTTCAGATGGAAGTCAGGCTGAATATGAAATATCTGTTAGAAATAGTGTTTCCTGGCTGGGGGTGGTGGCTCATGCCCGTAATTCCAGCACTTTGGGAGGCCGAGGCGGGTGGATCATGTGGTCAGGAGTTTGAGACAAGCCTGGGCAACATAGTGAAACCCCGTCTCTACTAAAAATACAAAAAAATAGCTGGGTGTGGTAGCAGGTGCCTGTAATCCCAGCTACTTGGGAGGCTGAGGCAGGAGAATTGCTCGAACCCAGGAGGTGGAGGTTGCAGTGAGCTGAATTTGCGCCACAGCACTCCAGCCCAGGTGACAGTGCAAGACTCCATTTCAAAAAAAAAGAAAGAAAAACAAAGAAAAGAAAGTAATAGTGTTTTCTGATCCCCATCAGGGATCCTCCTCCAAATTTGTAAGTGTTTCTTCTAATGCCCCTCTGATCCTTCCATGTGTCAATGACATTTATATCATGAAGCACACTGTATTATAATTTCCTGCTTATGTGATACTCTCTTCTAGTAGAGTCTAAGTTTTTTGTAGGTGTGGACAATGGCTTTTCAATTATATCCTCAGTGCTGAACCCTCTGCCTATTATGAATTCATGAATGAATGAATAAGTAAATAAACACATACTCAGTTTTTAGTATCATCAATATTTAGATGAATGCTTGGCTAAAAGAATAAACATATGAGAAATAATTGCATTATTCAATACAATCAGAACATCTGAACCATCACAGAAATGAAATAGCCAGTTCACAGAGTGAGATCTGAGAAAAACAACAGAGATGGTTTAATCACTATTCACTATTGCCCACACACACCCCATCTGCAAACCAATCCCAACGTAAACACCCAGTGGGTGTAAGACAGAGTGAAGTGTCACACACTAAATTAGTTTTTAAAACAAGAGAGAAAGATTGACAGAGAAAGTAAAAAGAAGAAAGTAAAGGGGGAGGGAAGGTTGAATGGAGGAAAGAAGGAGGGATATGGGAAGGGAGGAGGGAGAAAGAAAAAGAGGTAAAGTAAGAAGAAAAAAAGGAGCAAGGAGGAAAGAGTGTGAATCAACGAATTCAAAGGTTTAGGACAAAGGTGAGGATTTAGGACAAAGGTGAGGATTTATTCCAATTCTATCTAAATCAGGGTTTTTTTCCCACCTTAACGCCTCTCCACTACCCATAGCTAAACAACTTGCTTTTCCAAATTATTTAGAGCTAAATGAGAATGGGTTTCCAAATTTACCAGCTATACAAAATATATAGTTCAAATATGTTCAGAGGGAGACAATGTGGAAGACAGCAGTATATCAGAATAGTAAACTGACACGATTGGAACCATGAGGGGTTTTCTTTTCAGCAATTATTTTAGATCTATTTCCATGAACACCTTCATTCATTGAAAATTATGCATATATCAATTTCCAACTAACCTATGCTTTCTAGGAAAAAAGATCAATTATAATGTCATGCTACTACACCCTACAGCCTTGTCATCTCTTTATCATAGTAAATACGCACTAAACTTAAAGCAAAATTAAAATTAAATGTCAAAAACATCTTCCTTTAAGTCAGAAGGCCAGGCGACTTGGGTACAATCCTCATTTTGCCATTTGTTTCATTTTATTGTTATTGTTCTTATGTGTGCATGAATATGTTACTATAATAATATAATCACTCAACATTTGTAATATATTTTGAACTCAATTAGTTTCATCAAATCTCTGTGGACATTTAAATAGTTTAACTTTATCCAAATTAACACCTTCCTAATGGAAGAAACTTGACCTCAGAGTGCAGGCTGCATTGACATCCCAGGAGAATTTAAGGAAATTTTATAAAATGTATCTTATCCTCATTAATAGGCAAACTGGGATATGGAGTCTATGTGAAATTTAAAAACATCAAAATTTTAGGACCCTTAAACAAGAAGTTACCACTTAGTAGATAATTCCTTTTCTTTTCATTTATGGCTCAGTATGCATCTTTCCACATCCTTGGCTAATTACAATAATCTCCATAGATAACTTGGCACGGAAAAATTGGTACAGAGAATAATCTTACTAGGAGATAATCTCACTGTGGCATCATTAGGTAGTTGGAAAATAACATTAAGATATGGTTTTATCTGAGGTTTCTTTTCTGGAAATAGTCATGCTAACCTATGGAAAAACAGAAAAAAAAATATTACCAGAATGATTCTTCCAAACTTTTCCTGCATTGTCTTTTTTTTTTCTTTTTTTTTTTTCAGGCAGGTTCTCACTCTGTCAGCCAGGCTGGAGCGCAGTGGCACAATCTCAGCTCACTGCATCCTCTGCCTCCCGGGTTCAAGAGATTCTCCTGCCTCAACCTCTCAAGTAGTGGGACTACAGGCATGCGCCACCACACCTGGCTAATTATTGTACTTTTGGTAGAGATGGGGTTTCACCATGTTGGCCAGGCTGGTCTTAAACTCCTGGCATCAAGTGATCCACCTGCCTCGGCTGCCCAAAGTTCTAGGATTACAGGTGTGAGCCACTGCAACCGGCCCTGCATTGTCTTTGAAACAAGGAGCCTCTGAATGGGTCAAAAATGTACAGTGGAATGTCTACTCATTCTTCAAAACATTTTGTAGATGATAAATCCTTTGTGAAATCTTCCATGCATTCCCCTTCCCATGTAAAATTAAACATGTTTTACAGTTCATTGATTTGTTACTTATTTTACCATATAGGGAGCAAGTAAATCAAATAGACAGCAGACTAAAATTAGTGCCAGATTTTTATTTACACAAGGAAATTCCATGTAGAAAGAATTGCCATTTACTCAGACTTCTGTTTCCTATTCAAATTGAAGTCATTTGGAAAATTGGTCTTTCCCTTCATTTTCCCCTAATTATACAAGAGAAAATCATAACCTCAGCATTTTCTACTTCAATTGTTAAAGAAATTTTGGTTAAACTTTTTTGACAGAAAATTAATTCTATTATCTACAATTCTGGAAAGATTCCAAAAGTGATCCCACTATCATGATAGTAACATATACACACATAAACATGGAGTTTTACATAAATACAGCATCAACAACTTAATGCGATAATCAAACATGGGGATTAAAAAAAACCCAAAAACTTAGCTTGATATAAACTTGATATAAAACCTAAAAACTTAGCTTGATATAAAACTGTTGAACTAGCTCAACCTACTCATTTTATCACTATGTAAACTGAGCCACAAAGGTGAAACTACTTGCTCAAGTTGCTTGAATTCATTGTCAGAAAATCAGGAAAATAAAAGAAATCAAAACATTGCCACAAAACAGGCTTAGCAAGTTGCAAAGCAACAAGATATTTTGATAACTTTGTCTCACTTGATAAGCTAAAAACAATCACCAAGACCATAAAATTGCCAGAAAGTGGACAGTGGACTTGTTGTATCATCATTGCCTGGGTAATTTTTGAAAATTGAGATTCTGAGGATCAGAAAGTTTAGGAAGTGCAATGTGGAATCTGGGATTTTTAACTAATTTGTCTAGTGACTGTCATGCACATAATATTTTATTAATATTAATCAAATATCAATAGTTTAATATTTGATTACATAGGTAATTTTTTCTTATTTTATACCCAATTTATCTCAAATAGTTGAAAGAAAGTGTCCAATGGTGCACAGCTGGTATGTGGTAGAGCTGGGATGCAAATCCTCACCTTCTAATTTCACCTTCTCCAAAGTCAAGGTTCTTTCATATGGTGACACTAGCATCCTCTCAGAGTTCCATATTATCAATTATTGTCTTACTAGGAGCCAAGTGGCCCTTTTAGCTTTCAGAGAGGTCCTGTTCATCCTGTGAGTGTGCGGTGCATCCACACTTGAGCATTAAATTGAAACATACATCTAAACCCACACTCTTACTTACTACTTCTCACTGTCTCCATTATTTATTTTAACACTGACTCCCTGGTGGATCTCAACTCAATCATACTCTGAAGCAAATTTGGACAGGATAAATATCTCTAAGAAAAAGATGAGACGATCAATTTTCTAGAAGATTTCAAATACAATACAGCCATTCGTACCTCTTGGGTAAATTACCAAAATTAGTGATTAAATTAAAAGTTGTATTCCTTATGCTTGCCAGAACTGCATAATTGTTATAACATCGACATTCTGCTAGGAAGTGTTCTACCATTAGTGCCAAAGAAAGGTGCAGAGCTTGAGATTTCTTATTTTATCTTTGGTTTTTAATGTTTTAAAAAGCCCCCTCTTTTTAATCTAAAGGATTTCACGAATATAATAATAAAGATTTGAATGAAGACATATAGAGATATTTAACATAAATGTGTAAGATTATATAAACAAAATAAAATAGATACTATACATGCATGGCAAATACCTATGTGAGAGTTTGGGGATATAATTTTTCTACAAGAAATATAATTTTATTTGCAATGAAGCTGAATTTAGATCTTGTCAAAAACATCCAATTTTTAAAGGATAAAAAAGAAGGTTGAAAAACCTGGCTACAATGGATATGGTTTTTTGTTTTGTTTTTTTTAATTTGGAAATCCCATTCTCTGTAGCACAGAAGGCATTCACACAGTTCTACCAGTCTATCTTTGGCAATAAAACAAGCAAAACTGCGTCCTGCTATCAAGTGGGAAAAACTTCAAAAAGGAAATTAACATTTCAAACAGAAGAAAGAAGAAGCATTTACTGAGACTTGTTTTTGAATTATTTATATGTGATGATCTGTGCATTCCGTGGGGTTTTAGAGCATTACAGAGAGAATAGGGAACACCTGTCCCAAGAGCTGTGGGCAGTGATTCATCAATCACAACAGTGAAACATTCCATGACTAAGAATCAAATAACATGTTTCCTATAATTTCTGGTTTCGAGTCTTGCTTGGCAATATAGGTTTTATCCCTCAATGAAGTTGGAGGCTTAGAAAAAGCAAACTTCCTCTTGTAAAGGGGATGTAGTCTCTGAAATCGCTGCTCAACTTATTATCAACCTAAACTTTTTTTTTTTCTCGCTCTTGTTGCCCAGGCTGGAGTGCAATGGCGCGATCTCGGCTCACCACAACCTCCGCCTCCTGGATTCGAGAGATTCTTCTGCCTCAGCTTCCCGAGTAGCTGGGATTGCAGGCATGTGCCACCACAGCCGGCTGATTTTGTATTTGTAGTAGAGACAGGGTTTCTTCATGTTGGTCAGGCTGGTCTCGAACTCCTGACCCCATGATCCACCTGCCTCGGCCTCCAAAAGTGCTGGGATTACAGGCATGAGCCCCCGCTCCCGGTCCAACCTAAACTATTGTATTCAGCCTCCAACACTGGACAGTCTTGTTTAGTTACTCAGAAAAAGGATCTATAAATATTTATTTGTTTACCTGTGTATTATATAACATCCCTCCACTAGGATTTATAAATGCTTTCTGAAGTCAGGAAGTTGTCTAATTATCTTGGTAGTGGCAGAAACCAGAAAAGTGGGTTTTAAAAGATGTTTGTTGAATGAATGAGCAAACAGCATGGTTACCTGGATGAGCTATAAATCCAAATGTCTAGAGTGATACTGAAGCTTTGTCAGAGAGGTCAGCAGTGTGATTCTAACATGGACAGGATTGGAAGAGGGGGCAAAAACAAAGTCAGAAGATATTGGCTGGAAAATCGCTCTTAGACTTACGAGTTACAGGTTGTCTCAAGTAGTTCAGAACTTAACCTGTGAAAGTGGCACTAGCATAATGGTTGGCATATTTTGGGTTGAAAAGTATGGAAGTATGAATTTATCACACAAACAGAAATTATTTCCAACCTATAGAACAGTTATTTTCACAAACCAGAAGGGAATACATTTTGCCCAGCCCAGGGGAACACTAACCATATCATACTTTAAGTATTAAAGTCCCAACAGCCTTGAAAAGAAATAAAAGCAACTTTATTATTCCCCCATCTATAATTTAAGAAATAAATGTTTCCATTAGGAAATATGTGCTACTGCCACACATCATTTTCCCTAAAAATTCCATTTAGACAGTTAAAATCGGTATTGAATTGTTTGCCCAAATAAATATTATATGTGAAAAGCACAAACATTTTTACTGGAGATGTTACAATTTAATATGAAATAACTTCTCCTGTTAGGAAAATACAACTGCTTCATAGAGATATTTTAATGTAACTTTGTATTTTAGCTAAGTTACACTCTCATGATTCAGAAAAATCACTGACACTTTTATTTTCTTTCCGTATGGTATTTTGTTTCTTTTCCTATTAAATAATGTTTAATGAAGACTTAGATATTTTCACTTACTGGCTCCCAAATGGTCCACGCAGATAAAGGCAAGAATCCTTAAGATATAGTGAATGTATTGTCCAGATTTCGCTTTACTACCATCTAAGCTCTCCACAAATGTCTGGCATCTGAGTCTAGAAAATTCTTATGAGTAGATTCTTGCTTCTAGTAATGTCTGATTACCTTTGCAAGAATTTCCCTAACATTACATTTAAAAAAAGAACTTTTAAAACTCTCAGAAATCTTACCTACTAGTAGACTTTTCATTGGCTATAGTTTCTACCCGGTTGATCTTATTTAAAATTGCTACATTTTTGCTCCTTTCTATATGATGTAGTCATTTCCCAGAAATATCACGTCCCAAGTGAGTGTGGCCACAGATGATGGGCTTACTGTATCATAATAATTCTCTTTTTTTAAAGGTACAGTGTCAGTACTGACTTAAAGGAACCGTAGAATGGACTTACTAGGAAAGCAATTAACTGTTAGGGTGAACTAAATGAACATATTTTAAAGTCTATAAGCTACATTGTAGTTGGAAATATAAAATGTGAAAATGTCATCACTGAGGCTAGTGATAGACCTTTTTAGACTCTATTAACATGATTAGGTTTCAGAATAAGATACAATTAAATTAATAATTGCATCTTCTACATAATTTTAAGAATAAGCCTTTAATAAAATCAGTATGCATTCTAATTGTTTATTTACACAATATTAATATTCAGACAGAAGGATCACTAAAGCACAGTTAATTAAATATAAATTAATGTGGTGGAATATTTAATTATCTTTTCTACACCTCACGACTAATGATTATGTAAATGCCTTGCATTTAATCTTGTTGCCAGGAAATTAACTTAATGGCCTTCAGCAAATGAACATTTTGTATGCATTCAGGACACTTTATTTAAATTTTAACAGCATGGTATTAGTTTCAGATAATAACATGATTGCACACTTTAACATGTAAATATACACAATAGTTTTACCCCTCCCCCGCCTTATTTTTTTTTAACAAAAAGGAGACTGAAATGGTTGATATCATTCAATAACTCAAGTTCTGTAGTGTGAAAGATTTCTTCACTCATCTATAGAAAGCCAAGTCCTTTTAAATAAAAACACTTCAACAGAGAAAAGGCAAGTCCCTTTGCAGTGGACAGTTAAATCGATGATTTCAAACAATGCCACCTCTGGAAGTTAATCACTTTGGATGTCAGTGGGTGGCAGGAACATCCGCACTCTAAGTGAATTCTCCAAGCTTTGGGGATTTTGTGAAGTGCCAGCACTTTTGGATGTGTTAAGAGAGTCTGGAGACTTGTAGGTCTCTCAAGGAATCTAAGCTCAGGATTAATTACAAGTCTCATTAGATATCACTAAAAATATGGGCGGCAGTGATTTAATTTGCCAAGGTCAGATTCTCGTCATGAACAGTTTCAATGAGTAGTCACTCAGGAATAAAAGTGATCTGTGTTGCACTGGGTGGAAGATCTCGACACGGGGACGCTAGGCAGATGAACAATCAGGCATTTCTCATTTCACTGACCACAGCATATGACTTTGCACCCCCACCTACACTCTTACTCACTACTGCAGACTGATAGATAGCACCAGCATTTCAGTTCCTGGGGGTGTTTTTTGCCACCGGAGCCCACGTGGCTGTTTAACTGGAAGGTCACTTTACAAGTGTCTTGTATTCAGCATACCTCGTCCTGGCAGCCCCAATCAATGATCAGAATTGGTGTATTAATGGCTTGGCTACCTTGCCCCTTGGGTGAGATCATTCAGAGGCACAAGTTTTACACTGACGCCCAGAGTTTCCTATTAGAATTAAGCTCTATTTACCCATGGGAAGTGGTTTGATAAGGCATCTTTTTTTTTTTTTAACTTTTATTTTAGGTCCAGGGGTACATGTACAGGTCTGTTATATAGGTAAACTGTGTGCCACAGGAGTTTGGTGTGTAGATTATTTGATCACTCAGGTAATAAGTTTAGCACCGAAGAGGTAGTTTTTTTAATCCTCTCCCTTCTCCTACCCTCCATCCTCAAGTAGGCCCTGGTGTCTGCTGTTCTCCTCTTTTTTTTTTTTCTTTTCAGTCTCTGTAGAGACGGTCAAAAATTGCCAGTGCTGACTATATTTCAAGTCGTCATGGAGGGGTATTGGGAAAAGTTTTCAATTAGCAATAATTGTACTTCAGGTAAACCTCATTGGCTACAATGCCGCCACTGGGCAAAGCTGTTCCTCTCTTTATATCCACGTGTTCTCATTGTTTAGTTCTCACTTATAAGTGAGAATATGCAGTATTTAGCTTTCTGCTTCTGCATTAGTTTGCTTAGAATATTGGCCTCCAGCTTCAACTATGTTGCTGCAAAGGACACGATCTCTTCTTTGTTATGGCTGCATAGTGTTCCATGGTGTATATGTACCACATTGTCTTTATTCAGTCTACTGTTGATGGGCATTTAGATTGATTATGTATCTTTGCTATTGTGAATAGTGTTGTGATTAACATATGTGTCTTTATGGTAGAATAATTGATATCCATATCCCTTGGGGTATATACCCAATAATGGGATTGTTGGGTCAAATAGTAATTCTGTTTTAAGTTCTTTAAGAAATCACCACAGTGCTTTCCACAATGGCTGAACTAATTTGCATTCCCACTGACAGTGTTAAAGCATTCCCTTTTCTCTGCAACCTTGCCAACATCTGCTATTTTGTGACTTTTTAATAATAGCCATTCTGACTGGTGTGAGATGGTATCTCTTTGTGGATAAGGCATCTTTAAGCGCCTCCCCTTCTCTACCTCACTTTCCAACTCCCACACCAGTGTTTCTCTCACCTTTTAAGTAAAGTCCTTGCATTTACATCTTTATTCAGTTTCTATTTCTAGGGGAATCCAAACTAAGACATTGAGTCTGCTTGCTAGTAGGGAAATCAATGTAGTTACACATAAGATTGAGACCAAGACATTAGAAAATTGCATTAGAATTAGCACAAGATCCAAGAACTTCTAGGTTTACTAGATCACAGCCATTCTTTGCTTACTAAGTCCTTGAGTAAGATGTAGAGAAAAATATTAACTATTAAGGTAGCTAATGTTTGATACATAATATGTATCAGACACTTTTAAGTGCACTACATATCGTATCTCATTCCATTCTCAGAAAAAATCCACAATGTAGAAACTATTATAATTGCTCCAAATACGGTGACTTATAAAACCATCTATTTTATTAAACTTCATGATTGTGGGAATCAGGAATTCAGGCAAGTCTGGGTTGAATAATTCTGTTCCTCATGACATTGATGGAGATCACTTGTTGTATTCAGCTGAAGGATGGGTGGGTCTAGGAAATCCAAAGCAGCTTTACTCACTCATCTGATACATTGGTAAGAATGGTTGGAAGGCTGGGCTTATTTGGGGTTGCCAACCAGAGCACATACACATGCTGTCTCCAATGTGGTGGTCTCAGATGGTTTAATGTCTTACACAGTAGCTCAAGAATCTCAGAGAGAGGTTCCAAAATAAAGAAGTGTAAGTTGTCTGTCCTTAAAGCATGGACCTAGAAACTGGCACCACTGCAAGCAACATGGGAGTACAAATAAATGTTCTCACCACAAAATTTGCTACCAATCAATCAACAGGCTTTCTTCCCAATGCACAGAGAGGCCAATACCATGGCACCAGCTCTTGAGAAAAGAAAAGCCTTATTGTGAGTCAACCAGCAAGGAGAAAGAAGGAAACACTCAAATCTGTCTCCTTGCACTGGGGTTTGGGTCGGGTTTTGTAAGAGTAGGGTAATGAGATGTGATCTGATTGGCTCTTGCAGTGAGGTGTGCTGGAAAGCAAGATCTGACCGGATCCCGCCACAGGATGATGCCAGGGTGCAATCCGATTGAATCCTGGATCCTGCCATGTAGTGAATACATCTTAATTCAGCCCCCATTCCTGGGTCCAAGTGCTTAGATCCCCCCCGCATGATCACATGCTTGGTTCATCCTGGCATGTTCAGATTATGTGACCTTTAACCTAGAGGTCCATGGCAACTGAAAAATAGCCCACAACTTTGTTATGTAAAAGTTGAACCAGATTGGTCTGATGCAATTACAAATTGATAACTATGGAGGTTATAAATATGTTAATTAGCTTTAATTATTCCACTTTATGTACACATATCATAACATTACATTGAACCTCACAAATCTATGCAATTTAAAATAAAACTTAAAAAGAAACGGGCACTGTGTCACTTCTGCTGTGTTCTACCGGTCAAAAGATTTGTTCCAAGTTGGAGGGGAGGGAAAGAGAATTTGCAACCATCTTTGATCTTCCACAGTAGATTAAGTAGCTTGCCTGAGTAATTGGTAGAGACAAGATTCCAACCCAGAAAGGCTAACTCCAGGGCCTATACTCTTAACCAATATACTTTGCTTCCTCTTATATAATAAATAATAAAAAATGCAGAAGCAAACTAATATTTTTATCCATTTGTATTCATAAACCAACTCAGAGAATTCCTATAACTTGAACCATAGGTAGCATCATTTTTCCTAAACTAAGTAAGAATAATAATTAACATACAAAAGAGCGCCTGACACATTATAAATGATAAATTGCAGTATCACTTTTTAAAGTATTCACTCCAAAAATAAAGTAGAATAAATGGGAAATGCAAAAATAAAACTCTAATTCTCAGATAACTGCCTTTCTTACCCTCATAACAAGACTTTGTTTCAAGTACAAGAAATGTCTGCCCTTCACCATGCAACTGTAAATTTCAGATTTTGGATGCCTTGAGGAACATGCAATTGCTTTTTATCATCTATGTTATATAAGGGCTAATCAATATAATATCCATATTTAAGTATCTTCAATAGGCAGTTATTAAGGAAGTGTCGAATTTTTAATGGACCTTGTGTTCCCCATTTGTTGTTGTTTATTCATATATAGAAAACATTTTATTACCAGCTGAGATATCCTATAAAAAAGAAGCCATTTTTTCTTAGAGCCTGTCTACTTCATCATCAGATGTCTTCAGTAGCTATAAAAGGACTTCTCATCTCTGCCTATTCCAAGATTCTTGCTATATTATGGCCGTACTCCTTAGGCTTCTATTTCCACTAAGAGGAATACTTTCCTTGTTTGTTAAAAAAGATAAATGCCAGATACTGAATTCAACAAATCTTTTCTTGCAGTTCTTTGGGTTCTTTGTGATTATTCATTACTCAGAAAGTTTCAGGAGTGTGGAGTCCCAGAGTGATAGGTTTACAATTTTAAACGTATAGTATCTAATGTGGTGCCTTAAATATATTTTTTGTTGTTGCTTTTGAATGAGCTTTCTTATATATTCTACTATGAAAGCTCATTCAAAAGCAAGAACAACAATTATTTTGGAGAAAAATGTCAGGATATTATGTAGCATTAATAATATATATGTACACACACTGTAATTTATAGATTAAATATTATCAGTCATTTACCTATGTCTATATGAGTTTTAGTCTGTAAAATGTCTATATGAAGATTAATTCAAGACACAAAAAAGAAACAACGTTCTGTAATTTATATTTCATGAATTCATTTTCAAAGTATTCTAAAATCTTCAGTCATTGAGCCTGTCTTGATGCATGCAACATGAATTTATGTCTTACAGCTTGGTAATGGTTCTAAATGCATAACTAGTTATCAATGAAGAAGAAAGTTGCAAGTCCCCCTGGTTATGATAATTTCTCTAACATACAAGTATCATTTCACACTTGAATTTGTGCTGAATCTGAAACCCTCAACTCTATGTAAAAATCTTCCATTTAACTTTCATCTGAATGAAACTAAACTTATGCATAAGAAAGTCCCACAGGTTTGCTTTCTAAGCAAAACTGAAAATACTGAGAACACAGACTTCCCTCTGCCCTTACTTCAGTAAGCAGGAACCGAAGAAAAGTCAGACCAGATTAGAATTTCTAAGAATTCTAACTTCTAATTAAACAGAGCTTCTTTTCTTGATGACAATCTCTCACTGGATTTGAGGTTTTCTTCCCTTTTCTCTGTTGACAGTTTAAAGTGCAATTATTACTGTATTTCCAAAAGAGGAATTTGATGACTAGGAGTAAGTATTGTCCAAGTTTCACAACTGCCTGAGTTAAGTTCAGGAGAAAAGAGAAGAAGGAGAAAGAGAAGAAGTAAAACAATTATCAGCACAGACAAATATATACACACATACACATGTTCATATCTATGGTATAGCTGCATGTTGGGATATTACATAGCATTAAAATGATATGCACAATAAATATGATTTTAACAACACAGATAATGCTGATGTTCCCTAGCAAGAACAATGTAGAAATGAATATAACATATCTTTATAAAAATATTTATATGTGTGTTTATATAATTTTACTAAGAAGTACATTTTGTAAGTGATAAAGTTACTATATTTCTTCCATAATTTACTACATTATAAAAATTCCCCAAAAATATAGGAGCTGAAATTGTAGTTTGTATTTTTAAAACTAAATTTTGTTAACAAATGGAAATGGAGTAAAGATGTGCAGACTCTTTGAATGGTGATTACTTGATATCTTCATT
This sequence comes from Homo sapiens, assembly GCF_000001405.40. Lineage (NCBI taxonomy): Eukaryota > Metazoa > Chordata > Mammalia > Primates > Hominidae > Homo > Homo sapiens. The sequence goes on along the minus strand of NC_000016.10, from coordinate 59,535,770 downwards.
TGCTCCTTAACATCCTCTCCTTATTATTTTCCATCCTGTAGATTGAATTGAGGATTTTTCTAGCTCTCTGGATTCCAGATGGGTTCAGCCAATGAGAAAACTGGCAAGATAGTGGGAGGATAAAAAGAGAGTGGCGTCCAGATATTTACCTGGTCAGAGATTGAGAGTGGCTATATTAGAAGACTGAAGATTTAGCTTCCGTCAAGTGGCCCTCTCCTATAGCTCTCTCAGGAATCTAGTAGTGGCTCCTCCTCTTGCCTCTAAAGGCTTAATTTGCATTAGTGGCTGTCCGCTGGTGCTAGCCCTGCAGTGCTTCACCATGTCTTGTTATTTTCCATTTACCCTACAGCTGCCTTTATAAATAGTTCCTCCAGTAACTGTGTTCACTGATGTATTTGGCAACGACAATTCATTTACTCTGTGACCCTGACAAATAGTATGAGCTCCCTTTTTTTTTTTTTTTTTTTTTTTGAGATGGAGTCTCACTCTGTTCCCCAGGCTGGAGTGCAGTGGCATGACCTCGGCTCACCACAACCTCTGCCTCCCGGGTTCAAGCGATTCTCCTGCCTCAGCCTCCTGAGTAGCTGGGACTACAGGCGCACGCCACCATGCCCGGCTAATTTTTATATTTTTAGTAGAGATGGGGTTTCACTATGTTGGCCAGGCTGGTCGCAAACTCCTGACCTTGTGATCTGCCCACCTTGGCCTCCCAAAGTGCTGGGATTACAGGCGTGAGCCACTGTGCCTGGCCAAGCTTCCTATTTTTACTCATTAATTTTTACAGAACTAAGCACACCTGCAGAGGAATGTTGAGCCTAAAGTATACAGTAATGTTCTTCACCACCACATTGCCTGAATGGGGCAACGCCCAAGTCCCAACACACTTAAAGTTAGATACACAATGGAGGAAAGTGAAGTTGTTTTTTTTGTTTGTTTGTTTTTTGTTTTTTAGTGAGATTTAGAATTTACTCACGCATTTACTTTCAATGTTACTTTCCATGTTCCCTTAGAAGAAATAATTTAATTTAGAGCTATTTGCTTCATTTTTTTACATAAAGTATAACAGCCTAACAGGTTCGCCTTGCCCACTGCCTAGACAGAGCCGATTTATCAAGACAGGAGAACTGCAATGGAGAAAGAATAATTCACACAGAGTTAGCTGTGTGGGAGACCGGAGTTTTATTATTACTCAAATCAGTCTCCCAGAGCATTCGGAGATGGGAGTTTTTAAAAATAATGTGGCAGGTAGGGGCTTGGGAAGTTGGGAGTCGGGAGTGCTGTCTGGTCAGGTTGGAGATGAAATCATAAGGAGGTCAAAGTGAGGCTTTCTTGTTATCTTTTGTCCCTGGTTGGAATCGCAAAACTTGTTGAGCCAGATTATGTGTCTTGGTGGTGTCAACTGAGCCATTGAGTGCCATGGTCTGCAAAATATCCCAAGCACCGATTTTAGGTTTTACAATAGTGATGTTATCCCCAGGAGCAATTTGGGGAGTTTCAGACTCTTGCAGCCAGAGGCTGCATGACCCCTAAACTGTAATTTCTAATCTTGCAGCTAATTTGTTAGTCCTACAAAGGCAGGCTGGTCCCCAGGCAAGAAGTGGGTCTTTTCAGGAAAGGGCTATTATCAATGTTGCTTCAGAGTCACACCATAAACTAAATTTTTTCCCAAGGCCAGTTCAGCCTAAGCCCAGGAAAGAACAAGGACAGCTTAAAGGTTAGAAGCAAGAAGGAGTTGGTTAGGTCTGATCTCTTTCACTGTCATAATTTCCACAGTTATAATTTTTGCAAAGATAGTTTCGAAAGTACTTCTTTACTTGCTGTCTGAAAGCTGAACTAGTGGAAAACAAATACCTCCTTTCAGAGAGTTAACAGATCACTCAATGTGTCTTTCAACTTGTATTTGATTAATCTTTACTACATGCCAGACACTATAGATAATGTCTAGGCACAGATAACATTGCGAATTAAAATGTCCATGGGTGACTTGCACAACGTTTGCAGTCAAGATAGAGAAGCAAACATTACCAACACAAATGAAGTACGACAAGACAGGGTATGTGTTTCAAAGCCAAGGAACATGCATACGTGAAACTTTATGGCAATAGGACTTAAGTGCAGCAGTCAGGAAAGATCGCTTATTAAAAGAAAAAATAAATTACACTTAACACTTAGTATGTAAAGGTAGGTAAGGGCCAAAGGAGGATTCTGCAGAGCTTTCTAAATATAGAAGCCTCTGGGAAACATGCAGGGCTGCCTTCGGTGGATGGAGGCATGTTGAGTTTGAGCAGGATAGAAAGATTAGATCAATGAGATTTGAAGCAGGGCAAGTAGTGGTAGAAATGGTGGGGACAGGAGAGAAAATTGGCCCCAATCAACACAGAAGTATGGGAAAGTGCTTCATCATTTCCTAAGGGCAAAATCAGACTTTAAAATATTTTAGAACAGCGGTCCCCAATCTTTTTGGCACCAGGAACCAGTTTTGTAGGGGTGGGGGTTTCAAGGAGTTACAGGGTGGTTTGCGGATGAAACCGTTCCATCTCAGATCATCTGGCATTAGATTCTCATAAGAAGCATGCAACCTAGATTCCCCACATGCACAGTTCACAGTAGGGTTTGTGCTCCTATGAGAATCTAATGCCGCTGCTGATCTGCTTGCAGCCTGGTCCCTAACAGGCTATGGACTGGTAGCGGTCCATGGCCCAGGGGTTGGGGACCCCTGTTTCAGAAGCTATTACACAAAAATAATCAGCCGGGCGTGGTGGCTCTCGCCTGTAATCCGAGCACTTTGAGACGCTGAGGCGGGTGGATCACCTGAGGTCAGAAGATCAAGACCAGCCTGGCCAACATGGCAAAACCCTGTATCTACTAAAAAATACAAAAATTAGCCGGGCATGGTGGCCACTCAGGAGGCTGAGGTAGGAAGAACTGCTTGAACCCAGGAGGCAAAGGTTGCAGTGAGCTGAGATCGTGCCACTGCACTCCAGCCTGGGTGACAGAGTGAGACTCCATCTCAAAAAAAAAAAAAAAAAAAAAGATAAATCTGAGTTGAATGCCTGTCTTGAATATGCTGGATGGGTTTTCAAAGCAACTATTTATACATTTTTTAAATCTGTAAAAATGAATCTTGTTCAGACTACAAGTAAATGAGATGAAATTTAGACATTTTATTGAAATAAGCATGTACTAGGAAGGAAAAAACTATTTCACAGGGGTGTAGGTAACCAACACTTGAATTTTCTTTTTGGAGTAAGTGCTACCCAATCATCTGTTTTTTCTTAAAGCATTCGTGTGTGTGTGTGTGTGTGTGTGTGTGTGTGTGTGTGTGTGTGTGTGTGTGATGTGCATGTTTATTTCACAAAGAAATCAATAAATGTTTTATAGAACCAAATACTTCATTTATCTCTGTTTAACTTTGAAATGCTTATTACCCACAGAAGCTAATTTTAGGACAAACAAAAGCAACTCATAATACATCATCAAGAAACATATGGTTCTCATTATCATAAAAATTTGGTGTTGACATGGAATGACAGCAATAAAAAGATACTTTCCCATTCCATATTTATTTGTGAATAGAGGGTTGATAAAAGTCACCTAAAATAGCTGTAAATGGCTACACATTTGGGGCCAAATCAGTAAGATAAACAAGGTACTCTCCTGGTCCAGAGAGCAGTTGTCCATATATATGTGTTTAAATACATGTGAGAAAATACACATTCATGTGCACATGATATCAGAGTAGGTGCTAATTATTAAGAAATATAATAATCATTAAGTGTGATCAATGATTGATGAGTAAATAAGATCATTCCATTGAGCTCAATTACATAAAGTAAAAATTGCTAGATCTCTCAGAGAAATGAAGAGATGGAAATAATAATATAAGATGCATATACTTTTAAAAGTAGTAGGTCTTAGTACCCTGAGGTGTATTGAAAATATGTATTTTCTCTTTAATATGTAACTATGTTGTACTTTACATATAAGGAAGAATCTTAAACATTGAAAGAGTATTGAGGAGACAAATTGAACTTTAACATTATAGGTAAACAGCTTTTGAAGCTAGTTTAGAGAGAGAGACACAGAGAGGGAGATAGAGGTAGACACAGCAAAGTACAGCTTTACTTCTCTGTACAAATCAAAGATTTTTTCAAAAAGTGAGCACATCTATGTAATAATCACATAAATTGAGATATCATACATTATCAGAACCAGAAGTCCTCCTTCTTGGACCCTCCAAGTCAATAGCTTCTGAAAGAGTAATTGCTATTTTGACTTCTGTCGCTATAAATTAGTTTTGTCCATGTTTCTACATCATGTGAACAGAATCATGTGTATGTACCCCTTCATTTCTAGCTTATTTTCTTTAACATTATTTCTCTTGCTTCCACTTTTGTGCCATCACGTTTAGTGCTTCTAATATTAGTGCTCTACATTTCTATGGATGTAATATGTATACAATCCTGTTGATGTGGCGGGCAGAATAGCCCCCCTTTAAAAGATGTCTGTGCCCTATCCCCAGAACCTCAAGTATGTTACACTACATGTCAAAGGGCAATTATGATTGTCTGTATAATTAATGTTTTGAATCGGCAGACCTTAAAATGAAGAGATTATCTTAGGTTAACCAAGCGAGCCCAGGGTGACCACAATAGTTCTTAAAACTGGACGAAGGAGACAGAAGAGAGCCAGAAAGATGGCAGAGCAAGAAGGACTCAGCTAAATGTTACTGGCTTTCAAATTGTAGGAATGGGCTCCTGAGCTGAGGAATCCAGATGACCTCTAGAAGCTGGAAAATGCAAAGAAACAGATTCTTCCCTACAGGCACCAGAATGAATGCAGCCTGCCAACACCTTGATTTTAGCCAAGTGATATTTATTTCAGATTTCAGTTATCCAAGTTGTAAGATAATAAACTCGCGTTCTTTTAAGCCATTAAGTTTGTGGTGATTTGGAACCTAATACACAGGGGCTAAACTATATCATGTGGGCATACAATTAACGAAGAACCATTTATAAAATAATCTTACAGTTATGCACTGTAGTGGCAACTTTATTGTAAAGAAAATGACCATATGTGGGTCTGTTTCCTTACTCTTTATCATACTTAATTGGTGTGTTCATAGATCTTCACACCAATATTACACTGTCTTAGCTGTAGTTTTATAGTGAGCTTTGATATGTGGTACTGTAAGTCTTCAAGCTTCTTTGATGCTATTAATCTGATTCTAAAATTTATATAAAAGTGCAGTTTTAACACAAAAAAAAATTATTGGAACTTTGTGATTGCACTGATTTTATAGAGAAATTTGGGGAAAATTGACATCTTAAAAATATCGAGTCTTCAGATCTATGAATATGGAATAGGCTTCCATTTATTAGGTCCTCCTTGTTTGTAATGTTTTTTCTTTTTCTCTTTGGACATACTGCCACCTGGGCTTGTAGTGAATGTATAGGAAAGTGTTTAAGATTTAATATCTGAGATATTTTCAGTTTGTTTTTGCGTCAGTTTGGTATTAAGTGGTGATTTTAAAGGAATTCATTTATTTCACCTAAATCTAAAACTTTGCTGGCACCAAAGTTTATAATATCCTCTTATTATCATTTTGGTATGTCGCCTTTACATTCTTGTCAATGAAGTCCTTTTTCTCCTCTTTCTTTTTGGTTTGAATCAATCTTTCCAACAGTGATTATGATATTGGTCTTCATCATAACCTCTCCCCTACAAATTAGGCAATAATACAGATACCATAATGCAGACCATCACCATTATTAATAATAGTAAAAAGAGGCCGGGAGTCATGGCTCATACCTATAAACCAGCACTTTGGGAGGCCGAGGCGGGTGGATGACTTGAGGTCAGGAGTTCAAGACCAGCCTGGCCAACATGGTGAAACACCATCTTTACTAAAAATACAAAAAATTAGCCAGGTGTGGTGGAGGGTGCCTGTAATCCCAGCTACTCTGGAGACTGAGGCAGGAGAATCGCTTGAACCTAGGAGATGGAGGTTGCAGTGAGCCAAGATGGCACTACTGCACTCCAGCCTGAGTAACAGAGCAAGACTGTCTCGAAAAAAATAAAAATTAAAAAAAAATAATAATAGTACAAAGAAATCAAGGTTCATGGAATATGATGAGTTCATCATTCAAGTTATAAAATAACTATTAGGTAATATTTTTGTTTGATTTGATGAGAAAACAGAACAATGGTCCTAATAAATTAAGGTTATAATCTTGTTAGCATATAATGCTTAATTTATAATTTAAAATTTATATCAAATCAGTATCAGATGAGACCTGTATTCTCAATGATTGGTGGTCAATAAAACCGTGCACACTAAGAAAAGTAGCAGACAATAGGATATATGAATTGGAAATAGATCTTTAAAAGGCTGGTTTCACACCCTAATGATTTGTCATCCTTACAAAATTTTTGCAGTTTTTTTCTTTGGTTGGTTGGTTGGTTTTTTGCATGTGGGTTAACTGATCTCAAAATGAGTGCCTAAATTCTGAACATCATTCCTTGTGAATGTCAAGCCTGTGTTATCTTGCGTATGATATTGTCCCTCCCTCAGATGAGCAGATAGATAATCAATCTGAAATGTTCCCACCTCTATAGCTTTTTAAACTCTAACTAAAAGTTATTGAAATAGGGAAAACCTTAAATATCTGTTAGAAATCCAGTAGTACTTTGTTTTAGACATTTCATTTTTATTCTTTTCATCACACTTTAGTATCATTACTATTGGCACACTAGCATTAGACATGCTTATTTTGCCAATATCTCAGCAGGAAAAAAAAAACATACTGCTCAATTACCTTAGAAAAGAGAGAAAGAGGAGTAGAAATAGAACCAAAAGTTCACTTTATTCACTTCAAATATTATAATTCTCATCATTTAAGTTTGTGTTAATATAGAATTTAGTGAGAGACTGACAATTTATTTATCACTCAGATATAATGAAAGCACAGTTCGATTAAGCATTTATATCTTACTAATGAATATAATGTTATACTAAATGAATGATATCACTTAAGTATTTTAAAGAAACTTCCTAAAATCATTAATACTTTGTCAAAGGAAAAAAATTTATTTTACTAATAGGATGAATGGAATTTATACATGTTACACCATGAATCTCAACCTATAGCTAGTTTTCAATCACCATAATTAAGGGATACTTTTTTTGCTTATATTTTTCCTGTAAAACTAGAAAAATTTTAGTACTTACAATTACAAAATCAATTTTGTTACTTTAATCTTTGAAAACAAGTGACTTTTCAACATATCCCAAGAAAATCAACTTATAATCCATATCGTCTATGAAATCAAATTAGTATTTATAGAAAATTGGGTAATATAGTTTTTATTGACGTATATGTAGATGTTTTTCTCTTATATCTAGCTGAACTTCTGACCAAGAAACTCAGGAAATATGTTGGACATCTCTGGCATTTTCTAATGCTCTACTCTCCATCCTTGGTCAGGGTACAATGTAAATTAAAGAGTCCTAGGCTCTGTCCTCTCAGTAGGCCATGTTGAGACAACGTTGGGATCTGAGCAGAAGAGATACAAGAGGAAAGATATACTCTTGGTTTCTCTTCTCCTCTCCAGGTAGTGAAGAAATAGTTTTATGTATTCATGCTTTTTCAGTTTCTGTAAATGTTTTAAGAAAATAATAAGATTCTACTTCTGACACTGTTTGTAAACTGGTCCAGCTAACATCTAGAGATAAGCAGGAGTCAGGGGAGGAGTAAAGGAAAGAGCTGTCCAAAATTAATCCTTGGGAATCCCTCGGTCATTTGTTATAAGATTTGCTACCAATACAGAACATTCAAGTCTGTACCAAAATATAATCACAGGAGACAGAGGGGAAACGAGAGAAACGGATATACACAACTATTACGTTGCAACGTAGTACTAAAGCCAAATAACACAGGCTTCTTGGTGCTGAGTAATAACAACCACTGTGTTAATAACTTGACTCAGACAATCTTTTCATGTTTGAGTCTTAGCACTTACTACAGAGTGTGGCAAGTAGGAAATGTTGATTAAAGTCTGTTAAGGAAACAAACCCAGACTCTACAGGTAATGACAATTGTTCACGTTCAGAGGTTGAAACAGAAACGTCTCATAGTCAGATTTAATTCAGGCAATAATTCCCAACATACCTGCTAAGGTTCATCATTTTATTAGAGACCAAAAGAAACACTAAAATCTAAGTTTCATTGCACGAACTGGAGCTTCGGGGTTCCTCTGGTCTTAATAGAAAAGTAAACGTAAAACTTCTATATTCCGCATTCCTGAAGCTGGGCAAAGCAGTGGGGGTTTCAATTAAAAAACCACAGGAATGGAAAGGAATATGTCAATAAAACCACAGACTTGTAAGTACTGCATGCTAGTTTGCAAACAAACACAGCAAGCCTTCTAGGAGTACAAGTCTATTACCGTAGATTTAAACTGAATGTGTGATGGTGAAGGTGACTGTCTCAGCGTGTTTTTCCCTCATTTCATGTACAGGGAAATGCAAACCTGCATCCTTGGTTCCTTGTAGCAAATGCGATGAGGAAATTGCTTAACTGAAGAATGTGTCACTAGAGTGGCAAAAGTTGAAACAATACTAAATTGGCCTTCTAGGTAGGAAGATCACTAAAGTAAGAGAATTTTAAGGTTGAACTGACATACAATTAGTAATGCTGAAAAATTTTGTTTTTTTGAATCTAGGCATCAGGTTAATATCCATTTAAATTGCATGCTTTTCACTATAAAGCTTCTGCAGACAGAAGCAGAATACATTTGTTGGATAATTTGTTGGTTATGGAAAGATATACTCAGTACATAAAATGTTACATATTTTACAAGACTAAAATCAGAATAAAGGCAGTCAAGTTGAACAGAGCATAGGCAAAGTATTTAATTTATAATTCACTGTATATAGCTGTGTATTTCATTAAGATGCAATGTGTTGCAAGCACATAAGAGAAGATAGCTATGTGGGAAAAATTGGAGAGTTTACCAGGTCAATTACTTAGGCTAAATGTGGCTTAACTTTATTACTAGTTGATAACTAGTTTTAAATATATTGCCTTCTCATTATTTTTGAACTGTACATGCAATTAATCCTGTTGACCATCTAGTGTATTAAGGTTGTTTTGAACCACAAAGAAAATTCAGAATATTTTTGGTAAGGGCTATCCTACTTGACTTTGAGAAAGAATGCTTTCTTTTTCTTTCCACAGAAAACATGTTTATTTTATCCTTACTGAAGGACAACAGAAACAAAAGTCAGCTTTATTCAGTTCCCAACATTTTGGTGCTTACTGTATTGAGTCTAATGAAACACACTAGCAGACACAGCACTGCATGGAGTTTACTTATGGAGGGCTTTATTCCTGAGTACAAAATAAAAGGCTGGGGGTGAAATTGAATGTGTTTTCCCTTCTGAGGTTCCTTTTTATTGTAAAGGATATATACTGTAGTATTTCAGAAAATTCAAAGGTCGTGAGATGTCTTGTACTTCCTAGTTAATTTTCATGAATTAGAAGTTTCAAAAAAGTTTGATAGAGGTTTAATCCTAAATCTCTTGGTTATCTCATCAATCAGCTGTGGGGTCTTCTCATTTCTACAATATTGAAGTCTGACAATTACAAGCTGTGTTATTTTGAAGTCAAAACATAAGCACTTTTTTTTTTTTGAGACGGAGTCTTGCTCTGTCGCCTAGGCTGGAGTGCAGTGGCGCGATCTCGGCTCACTGCAAGCTCCGCCTCCCGGGTTCACGCCATTCTCCTGCCTGTGCCTCCCAAGTAACTGGGACTATAGGGGCCCGCCCCTACGCCCAGCTAATTTTTTTTTTTTTTTTTTTTTTTTTGTATTTTTAGTAGAGACGGGGTTTCAGTGTTGGCCAGGATTGTCTCGATCTCCTGACCTCATGACCCGCCCGCCTGCACAAATTGTTTTTAATGGAGTATACAGCATCCCGTATTCAAAAGTAGAATCTTAGTGATTAAAAACAGAGCATAGGACAAGTTCTTTCATCTCTTCACAGTGTGTCCCCAGCCTTCATTCCATCCAGTCCCTGACATAGAGTAGGTGCTTTATAAACAGCAGTTGATGGATAAAGAATTAATTATTGAGAATGTCATAATAAATGTAAGGAAATCTGAAAGCTAGACTTTTAAAAATGTTCCCTCCTCTGCTTTTTCTTTTCTAAGCTAGAACTTATTTCATGACAAAAATCACATGAAACATCTTGTTCCCTTAGGAACTGGGATACTATCCCAATTTTAGGATAGTATCACCCGCAAGTGAATAAGACTTAACAAAGAGCACCCTTTTGAAAATGGACACCAGCAAAACAAAATTCAAATTTATATGGAAAAACTCAGAAATTAGTATTTGATCATAAGAGACTTAAATACTTCTGTGAGGATTTGTGGTTGTTGCAAATCATAAGAAAAAAATATAATTGGATTTTATCCCTAACCTACTAAAATACATTATTAACAAAATATCAAATGTTTACTACTGAAATCCCTAAATGCTACTTAGTTATGTGCAGGTACATATTAGATGATTAATAATCAGTTAGCACAAAGCATACTAGAGTAGCTGTAAGTAGTTATTTATCTGATGTAACGTGCATACAAATTAAAAGGTTAAAGTTAATAATAAGCTGAGAAAGCTAAACAAATTAAGAAATAATGCATTTATCATTTGCTAAATGGTTTGACATTTATTAAAAACAAGGCATATTGCATAATCAGCTCCCAACACTAAACACAGTCATTTATGTATTAAAATGGATACCAATTAAAATTTAAAATGTTTTTGAACTTCTAATATAAACCCTGTTATTAGCACATTGCAGAATACAAAATTAAATATTTATTAATTTATTATATAATAGAATAATAATAGACTGACCATAGTTGAACTGTTGCTATGTTCCAGTAGTGTCAAACTATTTTTGAACCTACTTGCTTCATCTTTTTAGTTCCAATACAGACTGATATTCTGAGTTCAAGGTTATGTATATATGAATCAAGATCTATTAGAGCTCAAAGCTTATACTTTCTCCTCAAACTGAAAGTAAGTATATATGAAAACCTGTGCAGGTACACACAGACACACACATACACAATGAAGTATATAGCGGTGTGCCGTAGGGGCACTAATATGAAGAGACTGCATGAGCATGAAAAATTACCTTTTGCTGATGAGGGATTAGAGAAGAGTTGATGGATAAGTTGGCTTTTGAAGTAAGCTTTGATGCATTAGTAGTATTTCACTGGTCCAGTATGTACAAAACATGGTAGGTAAAGGAAAAGAAAACCTGAGATATAGGGGGAAAAAGCTAAATGAATGAAAAAATGATCTATACTTCTCAAATTACTGTTGGCTTTTTTCTCTTTTCAATACTATTCCCAAAACCTTACTCTGAGGCCCTTGTTTAAAAAGGACTTTTTTTCCTGAGACGTTTGCTAATAGGCACAAAATAAGAAACATAAATCAAAGCATAATTTTGATTTAATATCCTAAGAAGCTAACTTTGTATGTCTTCTAAATTAAATAAAACAAGTAAACTAAAATGTTCAGTTTGAGCCTATTAAAAACATGGACAGCACAAACTTGGATAAATAATATTTTACATGTATGTTTCTTCAACTTGCACTATATTATTTTACAAATGTACATAAACATGCATAAATTTACAATATATAAAGGATATTTTATATTATTATTTTGATCTTCAAAGATCTCAAACTCATAGTCAGAGATGAAGTTTAAACTTGGTGTCTTTTATAAATGAGATGTAAGTGTGTCTATGCTAATTTGAAGACTTTACACAGAGCTCAGTAAAACAGGGAGTATATGAAAATGATGAGCCATTAACATATAATATTAATGATCTAGAAAAACATTTTTCTAGAGACATAGAAATACCTTATTCTGTCTCTTAGCTAGTTCGCTAAGATACGTTTCTTATTTCTTAGAGACATGAAGAAAGAGATATGAAGAATTTTATTGTCAACACATGATATAAATTATCTCAAATCCATAGTATTAAATAAACTAGTGGTAACTGCTATGAGCATAAGATTGCCATTATTATGGAGCATGGACTTTTCTCAATATGAAAACCACTTCATCAAGTGACAGGATTTAAAAATAAGGTCAAATTACCTGAGCTGCTTTGCAATTAGTGGGAATAAATATTGCTATATATGCATGTGTGTAGAGATGCATCTACACACACATATGTATATACATACACACATGTATATGCATACACACATATGTATATACACAAACACATACACACATACATATACACACGTATATATGTATGTATATACAATTGCCCCTCGAACAACATGGGTTTGAATTGCATGTGTCCACTTATACATGGATTTTTTTGTCAATAAATACATCAGAAAATTTTTTGGAGGTGAGCATTTGTGGAAAAACTCACAAATGAGCTACATGGCCTAGAAATATTGAAAAATTAAGAAAAAGTTATGTGTCATGAATGCACAAAATATATGTATTCTAGTCTATTTTATTATTTGCTACCATAACATATATACAAATCTACTGTAAAAAAGTTAAAATTTAACAAGACATATGCACAGCAACACTTAACAGACCATACATAACAACATTGGCAGTCGAGAGAAAAGTAGACAAATGTAAAGATATAGCATTAAACCATAAGTTCATAAAACTAACTGGAGTACATAGTGTCTACTGTCATAATTTCCTAGGAGGTGTTTCCTAGCAACGCCTCCTGTTGCTATTGTGGTGAGTGTCAGGCCTCTGAGCCCAAGCCAAGCCATCACATCCCCTGTGACTTGCACATATACGCCCAGATGGCCTGAAGTAACTGAAGAATCACAAAAGAAGTGAATATGCCCTGCCCCAACTTGATGACATTCCACCACAAAAGAAGTGAAAATGGCCGGTCCTTGCCTTAAGTGATGACATTACCTTGTGAAAGTCCTTTTCCTGGCTCAAAAAGCTCCCCCACTGAGCACCTTGCGACCCCCACTCCTGCCCGCCAGAGAACAAACCCCCTTTGACTGTAATTTTCCTTTACCTACCCAAATCTTATAGAAACGGCCCCACCCCTATCTCCCTTCGCTGACTCTCTTTTCAGACTCAGCCCACCTGCACCCAGGTGATTAAAAGCTTTATTGCTCACGCAAAGCCTGTTTGGTGGTCTCTTCACACGGACGCACATGAAATTTGGTGCCGTGACTCGGATCGGGGGGCCTTCCTTGGGAGATCAATCCCCTGTCCTCCTGCTCTTTGCTCCTTGAAAAAGATCCACCTACAACCTCAGGTCCTCAGACCCACCAGCCCAAGGAACATCTCACCTTATATCTCTGCGCCCCAATCCCTTATTTCCGCGCCCTGACCTCTTATCTCTGTGCCCCAATCCCTTATTTCCGTACCCCGACCTCTTATATCTCTGTGCCCCGATCCCTTATTTCCGTGCCCCAACCTCATATCTCTGCACCCTGATCCCTTATTTCCGTGCACCGACCTCGTATCTCTGCGCCCCAACCCCTTTCCCACTTTTCTGGAGGGTAGGAACCCCTGAACCGCTTCCCTCCATGTCTCTACTCTCCCTTTTCTTTAAACTTGCCTCCTTCACTATAGGCAACCTTCCACCCTCCATTCCTCCTTCTTCTCCCTTAGCCTGTGTTCTCAAAAACTTAAAACCTCTTCAACTCCCACCTGACCTAAAACCTAAATGCTTATTTTCTTCTGCAATGCCGCTTGACCCAATACAAACTCAACAGTAGTTCCAAATAGCCAGAAAACGGCACTTTCCATTTTTCCATCCTGCAAGATCTAAATAATTATTGTCGTAAAATAGGCAAACGGTCTGAGCTGCCTGACGGCCAGGCATTCTTTTACACATCGGTCCCTTCCTAGTCTCTGTGCCCAAAGCAACTCGTCCCAAATCTTCCTCCTTTCCCTCCCGCCTGTCCCCTCAGTCCCAACCCCAAGCGTCACTGAGTCTTTCTTTCTTTTCTACAGATCCATCTGACCTCTCCCCTCCTCCCCAGGCTGCTCCTCGCCAGGCCAAGCTACGTCCCAATTCTTCCTCAGCCTCTGCTCCTCCACCCTACAATCCTTTTATCACCTCCCCTCCTCACACCTGGTCCGGCTTACAGTTTCGTTCCGCGCCTAGCCCTCCCCCACCTGCCCAGCAATTTCCTCTTAAAAAGGTGGCTGGAGCCAAAGGCATAGTCAAGGTTAATGCTCCTTTTTCTTTATCCGACCTCTCCCAAAGCAGTGAGCATTTAGACTCTTTTTCATCAAATATAAAAAACCCAGCCCTGTTCATGGCTTGTTCGGCAGCAACCCTGAGACGCTTTACAGCCGTAGACCCTAAAAGGTCAAAAGGCCGTCTTATTCTCAATATACATTTTATTACCCAATCTGCTCTCGACATTAAATAAAACTCCAAAAATTAAATTCCGGCCCTCAAACCCCACGACAGGATTTAATTAACCTCGCCTTCAAGGTGTACAATAATAGAAAAAAGTTACAATTCCTTGCCTCCACTGTGAGACAAACCCCAGCCACATCTCCAGCACACAAGAACTTCCAAACGCCTAAACCGCAGTGGCCAGGAGTTCCTCCAGAACCACCTTCCCCAGGAGCTTGCTACAAGTGCCAGAAATCTGGCCACCAGGCCAAGGAATGCCCGCAGCCCGGGATTCCTCCTAAGCCGTGTCCCATCTGTGCGGGACCCCACCGGAAATCGGACTGTTCAACTCACCTGGCAGCCACTCCCAGAGTCCCTGGAACTCCGGCCCAAGGCTCTCTGACTGACTCCTTCCCAGATCTTCTCGGCTTAGCAGCTGAAGACTGACACTGCCAGATTGCCTCGGAAGCCTACAGGACAGAGAGCTCTAAGTAACTCTCACAGTGGAGGGTAAGTCTGTCCCCTTCTTAATCAATACAGAGGCTACCCAGTCCACGTTACCTTCTTTTCAAGGGCCTGTTTTCCTCGCCCCGATAATTGTTGTGGGTATCGACGGCCAAGCTTCAAAACCCCTGAAAACTCCTCAACTCTAGTGCCAACTTGGACAACACTCCTTTATGCACTTTTTTATTTATCCCCACCTGCCCAGTTCCCTTATTAGGCCGAGATATTTTAACCAAATTAGCTGCTTCCCTGACTATTCCTGGGCTACAGCCACACCTCATTGCCACCTTTTCCCCAGTTCAAAGCCTCCTTCGCATCTCCCTCTCGTATCCCCCCCCACCTTAACCCACAAGTATAAGATACCTCTATTCCCTCCTTGGCGACCGATCATGCACCCCTTACAATCTCATTAAAACCTAATCACCCTTACCCCCCTCAATGCCAATATCCCATCCCACAGCACGCTTTAAAAAGATTAAAGCCTGTTATCCCTCGCCTGCTACAGCATGGTCTTTTAAAGCCTATAAACTCTCCTTACCATTCCCCCATTTTACCTGTCCTAAAACCAGACAAGGCTTACAGGTTAGTTCAGAATCTGCGCCTTATCAACCAAATTGTTTTGCCTATCCACCCCATGGTGCCAAACCCGTATCCTCTCCTATCCTCAATACCTCCCTCTACAACCCATTATTCTGTTCTGGATCTCAAACATGCTTTCTTTACTATTCCTTTGCACCCTTCATCCCAGCCTCTCTTCGCTTTCACTTAGACTGACCCTGACACCCATTAGGCTCAGCAAATTACCTGGGCTGTACTGCCGCAAGGCTTCACAGACAGACCCTATTACTTCAGTCGAGCCCAAATTTCATCCTCATCTGTTACCTATCTCAGCATAATTCTCATAAAAACACACGTGCTCTCCCTGCTGATCGTGTCCAATTATTCTCCCAAACCTCAATCCCTTACAAAACAACAACTCCTTTCCTTCCTAGGCATGGTTAGTGCGGTCAGAATTCTTACACAAGAGACAGGACCACACCATGTAGCCTTTCTGTCCAAATAACTTAACCTTACTGTTTTAGCCTAGCCCTCATGTCTGCGTGCAGCGGCTGCCGCTGCTTTAATACTTTTAGAGGCCCTAAAAATCACAAACTATGCTCAACTCACTCTCTACATTTCTCATAACTTCCAAAATCTATTTTCTTCCTCATACCTGATGCATATACTTTCTGCTCCCCGGCTCCTTCAGCTGTACTCACTCTTTGTTAAGTCCCACAATTACCATTGTTCCTGGCCCGGACTTCAATCCAGCCTCCCACATTATTCCTGATACCACACCTGACCCCCATGACTGTATCTCTCTGATCCACCTGACATTCACCCCATTTCCCCATATTTCCTTCTTTCCTGTTCCTCACCCTGACCACGCTTGATTTATTGATGGCAGTTCCACCAGGCCTAATCGCCACTCACCAGCAAAGGCAGGCTATGCTATAGTATCTTCCACATCTATCCTTGAGGCTACCGCTCTGCCCCACTCCACTACCTCTCAGCAAGCCGAACTAGTTGCCTTAACTCAAGCCCTCACTCTTGCAAAAGGACTACGTGTCAATATCTATACTGATTCTAAATATGCCTTTCATATTCTGCACCACCCTGCGGTCATATGGGCTGAAAGAGGTTTCCTCACTACACAAGGGTCCTCCATCATTAATGCCTCTTTAATAAAAACTCTGCTCAAGGCCGCTTTACTTCCAAAGGAAGCTGGGGTCATTCACTGCAAGGGGCATCAAAAGTCATCAGATCCCATTGCTCTAGGCAACGCTTATGCTGATAAGGTGGCTAGACAAACAGCTAGCTTTCCAACTTCTGTTTCTGACAGCAACGCTTATGCTGATAAGGTGGCTAGACAAGCAGCTAGCTTTCCAACTTCTACCTCTGACAGCAATGCTTATGCTGATAAGGTGGCTAGACAAGCAACTAGCTCTCCAACTTCTGTCCCTCACAGCCAGTTTTTCTCCTTCACATCGGTCACTCCCACCTACTCCCCTGTTGAAACCTCCACCTATCGATCTCTTCCCACACAAGGCAAATGGTTCTTAGACCAAGGAAAATATCTCCTTCCAGCCTCACAGGCCCATTCTATTCTGTCATCATTTCATAACCTCTTCCATGTAGGTTACAAGCCACTAGCCCGTCCCTTAGGACCTCTCATTTCCTTTCCATCATGGAAATCTATCCTCAAGGAGATCACTTCTCAGTGTTCCATCTGCTATTCTACTACCTACCCCCCAGGGATTGTTCAGGCCTCCTCCCTTTCCTACACATCAAGCTCAGGGATTTGCCCCCGCCCAGGACTGGCAAATTGACTTTACTCACAAGCCTTGAGTCAGAAAACTAAAATATCTCTTAGTCTGGGTAGACACTTTCACTGGATGGGTAGATGCCTTTCCCACAGGGTCTGAGAAGGCCACCGCTGTCATTTCTGCCCTTCTGTCAGACATAATTCCTCGGTTTGGCCTTCCCACCTCTATACAGTCTGATAACGGGCCAGCCTTTACTAGTCAAATCACCCAAGCAGTTTCTCAGGCTCTTGGTATTCAGTGGAACCTTCATATCGCTTACCATCCTCAGTCTTCAGGAAAGGTAGAATGGACTAATGGTCTTTTAAAGACACACCTCACCAAGCTCAGCCTCCAACTTAAAAAGGACTGGACAGTACTTTTACCTCTTGCCCTTCTCAGAATTAGAGCCTGTCCTCGAGATGCTACAGGGTACAGTCCATTTGAACTTTTATATGGACGCACTTTCTTGCTTGGGCCCAACCTCTTCACAGACACCAGCCCTCTAGGTGACTATCTTCCAGTCCTCCAACAGGCTAGACAGGAAATTCCCCAGACTGCTAATCTTCTCTTGCTTACTCCAGATCCCCAGCCATATGAAGACACCCTAGCTGGATGATCAGTTCTTGTTAAGAATCTGACCCCTTAAACTCTACAACCTCGATGGACCGGACCCTACTTAGTCATCTATAGTACCCCAACTGCTGTCTGCCTTCAGGGTCCTCCCCACTAGGTTCACCATTCCAGAATAAAGCTCTGTCCATCGGACAGCCAGCCTAATCCCTCCTCTTCCTCCTGGAAGTCGCAAGTACTCTCCCCTACTTCCCTTAAACTCACTCGTATTTCTGAAGAAGAGTAATAACCCTTATGAGCCTAATACATCCCTTCATTCTCTTAGGTCTGTTTGTCCTTACCCTACTTTTTGCAACAGGGCTTTACGAAGTCACCCCCACCACTTAGGACGAGCCCCAAAAAACTTGTCATCCCTACTATTTTCTGTCTAATCATACTCCTATTCTCCGTTCTCAACTACTTACAAATGCCCTACTCTTGTTTACACTGCCGGTTTACACTGTTTCTTCAAGCCATCACAGCTGATATCTCTTGGTGCTATCCCCAAACCGCCACTCTTAATTCCCTCTTAGAGTGGGTAGATGATCTTTGCTGGCAGGGCACCCTCCAATACTTCCACCCTGATGAAGTTCTATTCTTTACTTTTATACTTACTCTTATTCTCATTCCCATTCTTATGCCACCCTTTACCTCTCCCCAGCTATCTCCACCACACTATCAACCTTACCCATTCTCTCCTAGCCGCTTCTAATCCCTCCTTAGTGAACAACTGCTGGCTTTGCGTTTCCCTTTCTTCCAGTGCCTACACAGCTGTCCCCACCTTACAGACAGACTGGGCAACATCTCCTGTCTCCTTACACCTCTGAACCTCCTTTAACAGCCCTCACCTTTACCCTCCTGAAGAACTCATTTACTTTCTAGACAGGTCCAGCAAGACTTCCCCAGACCTTTCACATCAGCAAGTTGCCGCCCTCCTCCGCACTTATTTAAAAAACCTTTCTCCTTATATTAACTCTACTCCCCCCATATTTGGACCTCTCACAACACAAACTACTATTCCTCTGGCTGCCCCTTTATGTATCTCTCGGCAAAGACCCACTGGAATTCCCCTAGGCAATCTTTCACCTTCTCGATGTTCCTTTACTCTTCATCTCCGAAGCCCAACTACACACATCACTGAAACAATTGGAGCCTTCCAGCTCCACATTACAGACAAACCCTCTATCAATACTGACAAACTCAAAAACATTAGCAGTAATTATTGTTTAGGAAGACACTTACTCTGTATTTCACTCCATCCTTGACTACTTTCCCTTGCTCATCAGACTCTCCTCCCAGGCCCTCTTCTTGTTTACTTATACCGAGCCCCGAAAATAACAGTGAAAGGTTGCTCGTAGATACTCAACGTTTTCTCATACACCATGAAAACTGAACCTCCTCCTCTATGCAGTTACCCCATCAGTCCCCATTACAACCTCTGACAGCTGCCGCCCTAGCTGGATCCCTAGGAGTCTGGGTACAAGACACCCCTTTCAGCACTCCTTCTCACCTTTTTACTTTACATCTCCAGTTTTGCCTCGCACAAGGTCTCTTCTTCCTCTGTGGATCCTCTACCTACATGTGTCTACCTGCTAATTGGACAGGCACATTCACACTAGTTTTCCTTACCCCTAAAATACAATTTGCAAATGGGACCGAAGAGCTCCCTGTTCCCCTCATGACACCAACACGACAAAAAAAGAGTTATTCTACTAATTCCCTTGATGGTCGGTTTAGGACTTTCTGCCTCCACTATTGCTCTAGGTACTGGGATAGCAGGCATTTCAACCTCTGTCACGACCTTCCGTAGCCTGTCTAATGACTTCTCTGCTAGTATCACAGACATATCACAACTTAATCAGTCCTCCAGGCCCAAGTTGACTCTTTAGCTGCAGTTGTCCTCCAAAACGGCCGAGGTCTTGACTTACTCACTGCTGAAAAAGGAGGACTCTGTATATTCTTAAATGAAGAGTGTTGTTTTTACCTAAATCAATCTGGCCTGGTGTATGACAACATAAAAAAACTCAAGGATAGAGCCCAAAAACTTGCCAACCAAGCAAGTAATTATGCTGAATCCCCTTGGGCACTCTCTAATTGGATATCCTGGGTCCTCCCAATTCTTAGTCCTTTAATACCCATTTTTCTCCTTCTTTTATTTGGACCTTGTATCTTCCATTTAGTTTCTCAGTTCATCCAAAACTGTATCCAGGCCATCACCAATCATTCTATATGACAAATATTTCTTCTAACAACCCCACAATATCACCCCTTACCACAAGACCTCCCTTCAGCTTAATCTCTCCCACTCTAGGTTCTCACGCCACCCCTAATCCCGCTTGAAGCAGCCCTGAGAAACATCGCCCATTCTCTCTCCATACCACCCCCCCCAAAAAATTTTCGCTGCCCCAACACTTCAACACTATTTTGTTTTATTTTTCTTATTAATATAAGAAGGCAGGAATGTCAGGCCTCTGAGCCCAAGCCAAGCCATCACATCCCCTGTGACTTGCACATATACGCCCAGATGGCCTGAAGTAACTGAAGAATCACAAAAGAAGTGAATATGCCCTGCCCCACCTTAACTGATGACATTCCACCACAAAAGAAGTGTAAATGGCCGGTCCTTGCCTTAACTGATGATATTCTACCACAAAAGAAGTGAAAATGGCCGGTCCTTGCCTTAAGTGATGACATTACCTTGTAAAAGTCCTTTTCCTGGCTCATCCTGGCTCAAAAAGCTCCCCCACTGAGCACCTTGCAACCCCCACTCCTGCCCACCAGGGAACAAACCCCCTTTGACTGTAATTTTCCTTTACCTACCCAAATCTTATAAAAACGGCCCCACCCCTATCTCCCTTCGCTGACTCTCTTTTCAGACTCAGCCCGCCTGCACCCAGGTGATTAAAAGCTTTATTGCTCACACAAAGCCTGTCTGCTGGTCTCTTCACATGGACGTGCATGAAAGTGAGCTCAAGTTTGTGAGTAGCTTCTTAAAATGTCATGTGATGCTAATCACCTCCACATGTGCAGTTAGTTCATCTCTGCAATAAATTGTGTATCACAGTAAAAAGTAATCTCTTGTGGTTCTTGTGTATTTTTCATCATGTTTACTGCAATACCATAAATTGGATAACACCATGGAATGCATTTGGAGTGTCAGTAGTGATGCTGGAAGTGGCTCCCAAAAAGCAGAGAAAAGTAAAGGCATTTCATTACAAGAAAAAGTTGAATTGCTTGATACGCACTACAGATTGAAGTCTGCAGCTGCAGCTGCCTGTCATTTCAAGGTTAATGAATTCAACATAAGAATGATTGTAAAAAAGGAAGAAAATGTATAGAGCTGTCACTGCAGCTACACCAGTAGGTGCAAAATCTTTACACTTTTTGAAAAATACCTTTTTATCTCATATTGAAAATGCAGCTTTTATGTGCATGCAGGATTGCTATTAATATAAGAAAGACATACCTATAAACTCTAATATGATTTAGAAAAAATGAAGACATTATATGACAACGCAAAGGGTAGGTGAAAGCTCTACAGCTGGAGAATGTAATGCCAGCAAAGGATGGTTTGATAATTTTAAAAAGAGGTTTGGCTTTTGATATATTAAGATAACAGGAGAACGAACTTCTACCAACCAAGAGGTAGCAAATGAGTTCCCAGGCACCATTAAGAAAATCATTGAGGAGAAAGGATATCTTCCTGAACAAGTATTTAATATAGATGAAAGTGTCCTATTCTGGGGGAAAAATGGCAAAAAGGACATTTATTAGCATGGGAAAAAAAGCAAGCACCAAGATTTAAGGCATAAAGGACAGGTTAACTCTACTGTTTTGTACAAATGTAGGCAGGTTTATGATCAGGACTGCTCTTATCTATAAAGCTGGTAATCCCTGAATCTTGAAAGGAAAGGATAAACACCATCTGCCTGTCTTTGGGTTGTGCAAAAAGATGGCCTAGATAATGAGAACCCTTTCTCTAGATTGGTTCCATCAATATTTTGTCCCTGAAGTCATCAAGTACCGTGCCAGTAAGGGACTGCCCAGAACCCTATGAGCTCAATACTGAAGGTGTCAAAGTGGTCTACATGCCCCAAAACACAGCATCTCTAAATCAGTCTCCAGATCAGAGTGACGTAAGAACCTCTATGCTGCATTATACACAGTAATGTAAAGAATTGTCAATCTTATGGAAGGCAACTCCGACAGAGAGAACATCATGAATATCTAGGATTACATCACTGAAGATGCCATTGCTGGTATAGAAAAAGGCGTGAAAGCCATCAAGCCTTAAACAATAAATTCCTGCTGGAATTTCCTGCTAGCATGTCCAGATGTTGTACATGACTTCACAGGATTTACAACAGAGCCATGACAGGGATTGTGAATATGGCACACAAAATAAAGGCAGAGGGTAAAGGGTTTCAAGATAGAGATCTCAAACCAATTCAAGAGCTAATAGACACCACAGCAGAGGACTTAACAGATGACAACTTGATGGAAATGAGTCTTCCTAACCATCGTGGCAGATGCTGAGGAAGAAGATGTAGAAGAAGCAGTGTCAAAAACAAACTGACCTCAGAAAATATGACAGAGGGTTCTAATTATTAAGACTTCTTTTGACTTCTTTACAACATAATCCCTTCTATGATATAGGCACTGAAACTAAAGCAAATGGTGAAAGAATAATTAGTATCATATAGAAACATTTTTAGACAAATGAAAAAGCAGAAGCACCAGACAGAAATTATGATGTAGTTCTATAAAGTTACACAGAGCGTGCCTGGCTCTCCTGCCTCCCCTTCCACCTCCTCCACCTCTTCTTTCTCTAAGACCCCTGAGACAATAAGACCAATCCCTCTTACTCCTCCTCCTCAGGCTACTCAATGTGAAGATGATGAGGATAAAGATCTTTATATGGTCCACTTCCATTTAAGGAAGAGTAAACATTTGCTCTTCCTAATGATTTTCTTTTTTTTTTTTTCTTATTTTTTTTTATTTTTTTTTATTATACTTTAAGTTTTAGGGTACATGTGCACATTCTGCAGGTTAGTTACATATGTATACATGTGCCATGCTGGTGCGCTGCACCCACTAACTTGTCATCTAGCATTAGGTATATCTCCCAGTGCTATCCCTCCCCCCTCCCCCCACCCCACCACAGTCCCCAGAGTGTGATATTCCCCTTCCTGTGTCCATGTGATCTCATTGTTCAATTCCCACCAATGAGTGAGAATATGCGGTGTTTGGTTTTTTGTTCTTGCGATAGTTTACTGAGAATGATGATTTCCAATTTCATCCATGTCCCTACAAAGGACATGAACTCATCATTTTTTATGGCTGCATAGTATTCCATGGTATATATGTGCCACATTTTCTTAATCCAGTCTATCATTGTTGGACATTTGGGTTGGTTCCAAGTCTTTGGTATTGTGAATAATGCCGCAATAAACGTACGTGTGCATGTGTCTTTATAGCAGCATGATTTATAGTCCTTTGGGTATATACCCAGTAATGGGATGGCTGGGTCAAATGGTATTTCTAGTTCTAGATCCCTGAGGAATCGCCACACTGACTTCCACAATGGTTGAACTAGTTTCCAGCCCCACCAACAGTGTCAAAGTGTTCCTATTTCTCCACATCCTCTCCAGCACCTGTTGTTTCCTGACTTTTTAATGATTGCCATTCTAACTGGTGTGAGATGGTATCTCATTGCGGTTTTGATTTGCATTTCTCTGATGGCCAGTGATGATGGGCATTTTTTCATGTGTTTTTTGGCTGCATAAATGTCTTCTTTTGAGAAGTGTCTGTTCATGTCCTTCGCCCACTTTTTGATAAATGGTGCTGGGAAAACTGGCTAGCCATATGTAGAAAGCTGAAACTGGATCCCTTCCTTACACCTTACACAAAAATCAATTCAAGATGGATTAAAGACTTAAACATTAGACCTAAAACCATAAAAACCCTAGAAGAAAACCTAGGCATTACCATTCAGGACATAGGCATGGGCAAGGACTTCATGTCCAAAACACCAAAAGCAACGGCAACAAAAGACAAAATTGACAAATGGGATCTAATTAAACTGAAGAGCTTCTGCGCAGCAAAAGAGACTACCATCAGTGTGAACGGGCAACCTACAAAATGGGAGAAAATTTTCGCAACCTACTCATCTGACAAAGGGCTAATATCCAGAATCTACAATGAACTCAAACAAATTTACAAGAAAAAAACAAACAACCCCCAATGATTTTCTTAACATTTTCTTTCCTTTAGCTTACATTATTGTAAGAATGTGGTACATAAAGTATAAAACATACAAACTATGTGTCAGACTATGTAAGTCACTGGTAAGGCTTCCAGTCAACAGCAGGCTATTAATGGTTAAGTTTTGGTGGAGTCAAAACTTACATGTGGACTTTCAACTGTGTGGGGGATCAGTATCCCTAACCCCTACATTATTCAAGGGTCAAATGTAGATGCATTACATAGATTCATAAATAATTTATATGGATCTTAATATAGTTAAATTTGATTATAATAACAGTAATGAATAATTTTTCAGAAAACTCATAAAACAAAGAAAATTTATAGAAACAGAATTATCTATCAACTACAAACTCAGAGATAACTATTAATATCTTATAGTACTTTCTTCCAGTGTTCTATACATGTGTATTTATGGTATTGAATAAAGCTAGATGAAAAGAAGTCATCCAAAACCAACGTTATATGAATATTTCAAAATTCATTAAATATTCTTAAATATGGTTCACAGGCTGCCTAATATTTCAGGTGTGAATGTGCCAAAATATTTCGCTACTTTCTCTATTATTGCATACTTAAGTAATTGTTAACCACAGTTATAAATAAAGTTGTGACATATACGTGGCTATTTTTCTTATTATTTCTCAGGATCAAATTTCTCAAAGTTGGATTTCTGTATTAATGTGTATTGATATGTCTATAGCTCTTGGTGAAGTAGAAGTCTGATTTTTATAGTAGCTGGTGTTGCTTTAAAGTACATGAAAATGAATATTTACTAAGAGACAAATGTTTTGCTTAAAATCTACCATACTATAGGGTCAAAACTAATTTTGAGTAAAATCTTTACTAAGATAAAGTATGTTCAACAGAGCACTCAAAAAGCACATTATACATTTAAGTATCACTTTTCATTATATCGTTACTTAGGCTGGAGTTGTGATTACTTAGTTACTTAGACCTGGAGTTATGATTAATACTATTTGGAAAAGAAAAAAATGGAGAAAGTGACTTTAGTAAATAAAATTTAGTTTGAAAATGTAAAATAGTTTGTTATCACGAAAGTAGATTAGCTGAGTTTTATATCATATAAATATATCAGCCTTGTTCACACTGGTATCAAAAGTAAATAATTACGGTTGAGAAACTGCCCACCATATGAAGCATTCATCAGAGGCTCCTGAGGCATGGCACTCACTGCCAGCAACCCACTCACAGCCCAGTGATCACACCCCTGCCAGCTGGCTGGACACAATGGTTGAATCAGGAAAAGGTTTTCCATGACTGCTATGGGAGCAGTGCCTTGGCAGGGAGCTGCATAATCTTCAATAGCCAACTGGCACCTGGGAGCTTCTTAACTCTCACAGGGTTAGCCATGCACACCGTGCCCAACCACGCAGCAATTGTTACCAGGGAGCCTATGATTGGAAAGTATTCTCCCAAAGAAGAAGACACAAACCTCCCTTCATGAATAACTGCCTCACCCACAAGTTCAAGCAGTCAGTAAACACAGAAATAGCAAAAACTGGCATTGCTCCTGAGGTTTATTTGCTCATTATACTTAGTCATTTATTTGTTGACTTTTAGACGATGCATTTTTGAGACTATTCAGTAGAATTCCTACCAAGTAGTAGACCATCCATCTCAGTTTGTCTTTAAAAGCTTTGTTCGTAATCATGGTCCTGACCCATGAAGAGCATCTCCATTCATTCTTGGCAGGGGTCTGGTTTGGATGATGTGGGAATAGGACCACTCCACTACTAAGAAAATATCTTAATGGAGTTTTTGGTGAAAACATTTCAAATAACCAAAACTTCTTGAGCCTAGCAGTGAGAGAACAAGTGAAATGAGAACCCGTCCATTTTTTTAAACAGATCTTTTTATTTTACTACAAATTTCAGGCTTGTGAAAGTACAAATACTGCATTATGAATTTCCACATCTCCATCATCCAACTCCAATTACCAACTTTTTTTTTCATTCTAAGCTTTATTTTTAACTAAACACAATATGACTTTCTGGAATTTTCACTCTATTAACAATTTAAAAAAAATATATTCACCAAAGTTTATGTTTCATGCAAAACTAGTGCTGGAATTGTTTAGTGGGAGTCACCAGGAAAGAGGAGAATTGTATATTTACCCCCTTCTTTCAGATTCACAGTGAAATTAGTGCTGTCACAGGAATCATTAATATGCTAAATAAACTGGTTTATGTGAGATTTTTTGCTTGTTTGTTTGTTTTTGAGATGGAGCTTCGCTCTTGTTGCCCAGGCTGGAGTGCAATGGCGCTACCTCAGCTTACTGCAACCTCCGCCTCCTGGGTTCAAGCGATTCACCTGCCTCAGCCTCCCGAGCAGTTGGGATTACAGGCATGTGCCACCACACCCAGCTAATTTTGTATTTTTAGTAGAGATAGGGTTTCTCCATGTTGGTCAGACTGGTCTCGAACTCCCGACGTCAGGTGATCCACCCACCTTGGCCTCCCAAAGTGCTGGGATTACAGGTGTAAGCCACCATGCCCAGCCCTTATGTGAATTTTTAAAACAATGGGATAGATGATAGATCAATTGACCTATCCATAGATAATTTTCATAAATCAATTTACGCATATTGAGTCTGCAGAATTGTTAACTTAAAAAAAGTTTTTTAAAAATCTTTAACTTGTAAACATAACAAGGTTTTGCTTTAAAACATGGTAGTTGGAATGATATAGTTTAATAAAATTAAATTTTATCTAGGTACATAGGCCCCTAGACAATTGTATCAATACATGATTGATCCCAGACCAGGGAAAATATCATACTGGGAGAAGTATCCACGTGTTGGTCTTCATGGATACAAACTGGTTAATTTTGTATCATGCTCATTACATCTGCAATATGTTTCCAGTCGTGTTCCAAGCACATTCCCAGGATAGGTTACTCCTTTACTAGTAGCTACATTGATGCCATTATCCAAAGGCATGTTAATAGCAGTGTTCTTCCACTCCTTTATTAACATTAGCAGGGACAACAATAATAGCCATCAGCCACTGAGAGCCTCTTACATACCAAATGTTTTTTAATTCAGCATGATTTTATAATAACCTTGTAAGATTGGGGTTTTTATATTTTTATTTTTTAAAAGAAATTTTTTATGAAATAAAACACAGCTACTGAAGGCCACACAAAGCAAATACGCAAGTTGATGTGTTATTACAAGACAAACACCTTTGAAATCACCACTCATATTAAGAAATAGAACTTTTTGACAGCCACTGCACAAGCTGCTCCACAAGACCTGTTCCAATCACAACCCCCTTTTTCCTGCCATAAGTCAACTCAGCTATTTTCACTTTTACAGTAATCATTTATGTTTATTATTTTTTCATGCTAGTGTGTATCTATAATTATGATGGCTTAGACTTGACCACTTAAAAAATTGTCTTTTAAATTTCTTATCTTCTAAAGGCTTCACTTCTTCCTTTTCTTTTCCTGACAATTTATTTGTTGAAGAACCCAGGGTATTTAACTAATAGAATTTGTCACAGTCTGCATTTCATAGATTGTGTACTCATTACACAGATTAGTGTGTTTCTCGGTCCTTTGTATCTCTTGAAAATTGACAGACCCAAGACCTGATCAGATGCATGTTCAGTCCCCTTGGCAAAACCCTAGGCTGTGCTGGGTTCTTTTATCAGGAGGCACAGGACATCTGCCTCTCTAGCTTTTTGTGATGTTAGTGGCTACTGAAGCTCAATGCCTAGCTCCATTATTTCATTGCAAAACGGTTATATTCATTTTTCTTTCTCTTATCATTGGGAATACTTTTATAAGATGCTTTCCCACATTTAGTAGTTAGTTACCCAATTGTGCAAATCACACAGGAAAGATAAATGCTTGATTTTGCATTTATCAAATCTGGTTATCCATCAAAGTGTGAAGATACCCAATTAATTTGAAAGATCATTATCAACTCATGCATTTAAAGATGTTTGGTGGTTTTCAATTATTTGCAATTATTGTTTGTTTTTGTTTTGCATAAGTTGTCTATTTTTAGCCAGAAGAAGCCTCATCAAGCTGATTCCTCAGTCATTTCGATATAAAACTACAAGTCTTTGATGGTTTCTTTGCTATCTGGTATATCACGATTTTTCAGTCACATATTGCAAACTGTTTGCTCTGGCTTCTTTTAGCAGAAATGGCATTTCAAGACCATTATATGGCTGCTAAGCATGCTCATTATTACAGAGTTGGTGATTGTTTCCAAGCCACTTTAGTGAACAGAGCTGAGACTTTAATGCACACACACTTTTACATTAAAATGCCTCATATGCTCCTACTGACTTCATTTCAGATTCAGGACCGAGGGTTTTGTGTTTGTTTGTTTGA
The DNA here is from genome assembly GCF_000001405.40 of Homo sapiens. NCBI lineage: Eukaryota > Metazoa > Chordata > Mammalia > Primates > Hominidae > Homo > Homo sapiens. The sequence continues at coordinate 59,507,240 of NC_000016.10, read as the reverse complement.
ACTTAACCCCTTCTACAATATATTTGTATTTTCTTTCTCCTACACTGAGAAACCTGGCACTCAATGACTCACGGAATAATAAAGTATCTCAAAATTATTCATTTACTTTATCTCATATTTCCCATCAACTCATTTTTAAATAACGATATTGCTACTACCAGTAATAAAATTACTGAGAACAGTTTTTGTGATTTCTTTTGTGCTCCTTCTAGTTTATTCATCTTTTTTGAAATATCTTTTTTCTTTTATGTATTTTTTTCTAATCTATCAACTCATTTCTGAGTTCTTCTTACTCTGATTTATGTTCTTTCATGCTCTGTACCTTTTTCTTCTTGTTAAATAGCTCATTTTAAATAGAATCTTACCATTTTGATATGTTTTGTGATCTCGTTTTTCTGACATGTTTTTATTGTCTGTAGAGCTGATATTACACTCCTTATTGTGTTATTTCTTATCATAATTTTGCACATTTGACCTTGGGTTTTTTGCTGTTGTTTTTAATCAAGCTCATTTTTATATGGAATTGATTTTCCTGGACTCTGGTTTTTTGTTTTTTTGTTTTTTGTTTTTTGTTTTTTTTTTTGAGATGGAGTCTTGCTATGTCACCCAGGCTGGAGTGCAGTGGTGCAATCTCGGCTCACTGCAAGCTCCGCCTCCCGGGTTCACACCATTCTCCTGCCTCAGCCTCCGGAGTAGCTACCACCCACCACCGCGCCCGGCTAATTTTTTTTGTCTTTTTAGTAGAGATAGGGTTTCACCGTGTTAGCCAGGATGGTCTCGATCTCCTGACCTTGTAATCTACCCGCCTTGGCCTCCCAAAGTGCTGGGATTACAGTGGTGAGTCACTGTGCCTGGCCTCCTGGGCTCTGCCTTCTAATGCCACAGAGCTCTCCTTTTTTTTTTTCTCCTTGTAGTATTTACATTTGGTAGCTTGCTTACTGGGATTTATTAGCATTGTCTCTTTTATCTTGACCATTTAGTACCTTCATTTCTATTATCCTTTTTTTTCCTCAGTTTTTCTTCTCCTTCCACAAATTTTTCCACAAATTTTTCCTCAATGGGGGAGCACTCTTAGGAGAGAAACTGGGTTGGGTTGGTCAATTTTGAGAGTTTATTGAAGTTAGATTGCTCCAACTTCTTCCGCTTTTACCATGGAGCTATCATTCGACTGAGCAAAACCCTTCCCACCTTCAGCTCCTGTTCTCAAATGAATGGCTCTTTGGAGGGTTTCCCTATGCTCAGGTCTGATGGCCCCTCTACTTCTCTCTACTCTCTGGTACACAGATGCTGTTACCAGGCAGGTCTTGTGGCTTAGTGGTTTATTCTCTTCCACTTGGCATAATGTCTTCAAGGTTCATCCATATTGCAGCATATAAAGGATTTCCTTCTTGTTATGACTGATAATATTCCATTGTATATATAGATCACATTCTGTTTGTCCATTCATCCACTGATGGAGATTTAGGTTGTTTTAAACCTCTCGGTTATTGTAATATTGCAATGAACATAGGAGTACAGACATCTTATTGAGATCCTGATTTCCATTCTTTTGGATGTATACTCAGAAGTGGGATTGCTGGATCACATGCAGTTCTATTTTTAATCTTTTTTAAGGAAACCCTGCACTGTTTTCCATAGTGGATGGACCATTTTTTATTCCCACCAACAGTGTGCAGCAGTTCCAGTTTCTCTACATCTTCACCAACACATGTTTTCTTTTGTGTTTTTTTATGATAGCCATTGGCTCTGGGGACTACTTCTTCAAAAAGAGCAGGCATTGGGGATGTGAGTCAGCAAGAGATTTCTCAGAGCTCTCCTGGCTTCTGCATCTTTCCTCCTCCCCTGGTAATCCTCGCTTCTAAGACAATGGAGTGGGCCTACTCTTTCAGTGGCCCATACTCAGTATGTCTTTAGCCATGATTATACCACAGGAACAGACCATATTCTGCCTTGTCCTATTCAATGGCTATTTTGCTTGGTCACTGTTTACTTCTGCCAATTTGGTCACAAGCACCCCAAATTCTCCTTTTGCCTCAATCCCTGGAATGCTTGCATGTCTCATTTTAAGGGTTCTTCTACCTCAGGGCCTTTGCTCTTGTAGTGTCCTCTGCCTGGAACTTTCTTCTACTGATATTTACATGATTTGCTCTCCTATGTCCTACAACTATCTGTTAAAATGTTATTTTGTCAGTGAATTTTTCTGACCACCAGTATAAACAGCAACCACCATTTACCTTATCATTTGAACCCTAATTTAGTTTTTGCCTCTTAATTCTTAGCACAATATAATTACATGTGTTTCTTTTTTCCTTTTTATAAAAATTGTCTTCCTCCACTAAGCTCTGTACTACATAAGGGAAAGGGACTTTCTTTGGTTCACTGCTGAATCTTCTGTACATAAGACAACTCCTGGCACAAAGTAGATGCTCCCCAAATGAACAAATGGATGAATGAATGAGTGAAGTTATTCTGACGCTAGATTGTTTCAGCTTTTTCTTAGAGCATCGCAATGTCAAAGGGTCAGTATTAGGGAGAACATTGGCAATGACCTGATATAGAGTAAAGAGTTCCTAGCTGATGTTTGAGAACTGCATGCAGTTGATCTCATTTATATGTGGCGTGCAAGAAAAGCCAAACTCATAGACACAGACAGTAAAATGGTGTCCCCCAAAGGCTGGGGGTGCCGAGACTGGGGAGTCTTGATCACAGGGCACAATGTTTCAGTTAGACAGGATGAATAAGTTCAAGATATCTACGGTACATCATGGTGACTATAGTTAATAACAATATTAACATATATATTAAAATGGCAAACAGCCAGGCACGGTTGCTCATGCCTGTAATCCCAGCACTTTGGGAGGATCAGGCAGCTGGATCGCTTGAGCCCAGGAGTTCGAGACCAGCCTGACCAACATGGCGAAACCCCATCTCTACAAAAAATACAAAGTTTAGCCAGTCGTGGTGGCACGTGCCTGTAATCCCAGATACTCGGGAGACTGAGGCACGAGAATCGCTTGAATCCAGGAGGCAGAGGTTGCAGGGAGCTGAGATTGCACCACTGCACTCCAGCCTGGGCAACAGAGGAAGACTCAGTCTCAAAAAAATAAAAAAATAAAAAAATAAAACAGCAAAGACAGTTGATTTTTAAGTGCTTTCACCACAAAAAAAAATGATAAGTATGTGAAGTAATGCATATGTTAAATAGCTTGATTTAGCCCTCCCACAATGTATACACATATCAAAACATCATTTTGTACACTATAAATACATCCAATTTTTACTTGTCAATCAAAAAACAAAAGATTAATAAAATAAGATGAATTTATTGTTGTGTCCTTTCCACTGAGCTTGCTGTGATGAATTAAATATCTAACATGTGATGGGAAACCTTGCATTTGAATGTCAGCTCTGATGATAATTAGACACATCATCTGGAATAAACATGCTGAGTCTCAGTTTCTGTATCTGTAAAAGAAGGTAGTCTTAAAAACAACGATCTAGAACCAGAAATACCATTTGACCCAGCAATGCCATTACTTGGTATATACCCAAAGGATTATAAATCATTCCACTATAAAGACACATGCACTTGTATGTTTACTGCAGCACTATTCACAATAGCAAAGACTTGGAACCAACCCAAATGCCCATCAATGATAGACTGGATAAAGAAAATGTGGCACATATACAGCATGGAATACTATGCAGCCATAACAAGAATGAGTTCATGTCCTTTGCAGGGACATGGATGAAACTGGAAACCATCATTCTCAGCACACTAACACAAGAACAGAAAACCAAACACCGCATGTTCTCACTCATAAGTGGAGGTTGAACAATGAGAACATATGGACACAGGGAGGGGAGCATCACACACTGGGGCCTGTCAGGGGGTGGAGGGATAGGGGAAGGGTAGCATCAGGAGAAATACCTAATGTAGATGACGGGTTGATGGGTGCAGCAAACCACCATGGCACGTGTATACCTATGTAACAAACCTGCACGTTCTGCACATGTATCCCAGAACTTAAAGTATAATTTAACAAAATACAAAAATTAAAATAAAATTAGAAAAACTGTAACAAAACTTTGTGATTGTTAAAATTACATCACTGGTTAATCATGGTTGTATGTGGAGTGGACTAGAAAATATTCAAGTTGAATGGCCAAAGAAGGAGATTGTAGAGTCCCAAATTGATGAAGAGTACAGCTCTTTTTAGGTTCAACTGGAGAAGTGACAATTATACCTCCCATGCATTTCAGATTTCATAGGACAGTTTCATTGTAATATCCACTTACAAAACTGTGTGGAGTGGGGTGTTAAACAGCACGTATTTTTAATTTAAAATCCATTAGCACTCCACATAATTAATTAGAATTTTACACTCCAGTGGCTTTTGGTTCCCTACAGAAAATTGAGCACACAGAATATAATTTGATTTAATTTTTGGTCTAGGTTTAATCTACCTTAAACATTTTTTTAATATCTCAGGAGAAATTTTAATGACTTAAAAATTTGTGATTTTTTTCTTAGTAAATCCAGCATTCTATTCTGGAATTTTGGTAGAAGAGGAGAAAAAAGCTTAGAAAAATATAGGTAAGGCAAAATATTTAATCAGGTTTTTAGAATTCAAAATACAGAGCCCACTATCCTTGCTAATGTAATATACTTGGGGAAAATGAAGAGAGGTGAAATTTTGCCTGTCAATTTCACAGCCTTTGTCTTCTTCTTAGAATTATAGAACTCTGCTTGCACATAGGTCTTTTTAAGTTTCAGTCTGTGCCACTAAAATCTCTTACAAAGGGTATCGTGTGAATTTGACATTCTTATAGCACATTTACTGTGGCCCAGGAGGCCAAGTACTAGGTCATAATTACACTCCGTTACAACTTCGGAGGGTCATTGCTGTGGGTGAGCTTCCTGTTGGTTTATTTATAACCACGGAATTAAATCACAAGGTTTGGAGGGCCTTGACCTAACTCCAAACTGCCTCACAACAATTATAATAAATATTAGGTCTTGAAATTCCTTTACTCTTAGGTTTAGTGGAGTCATTGATCAATTTTTTTCACAACAATTTCTTTTTATCCTTATTTCTTTTCATTTCTTGCCCTCTCTTAACCACTGATTATTTTAAGTTCCATAATCACAGAAGCTAACACTTACTTACAGTATTTGCTAAATACAATCACATTTACTGATTATTCACCTAGATAAGATTTTTCTATCTTGCATTATTGTTCACTAACTTATCTTTCCAACACTTGAGTATAATTTCATTTATCATTGACTAAAAACAATTACATGTCATGATATATTTTCTACAAAAGGCAATAAATTTCAATACAAAACTGTTGCAATAATAAACTATAAAATGAAACACACGCATATACACAGAAATACACACACACATACATACACACATAAACCATATGGACTTAAGCCTATTAAATAACAAGTTTTTAAAATTTTAATAGAACGCAATACTGTTGCTCCAAGAATCTATCGTTTTTGTTGTGGAACCAGTGGTTTAAATGCAATTATTTCGTTTGAAAATATTTTGAAAGTCATACACAGCAGTACAGAGTGGTCTTTTAGGATACCAAATCTTGGGGACATAATAGGGTATAATTCAGTTGCCAGATCCAAATTTAAATAAAAGACTTGCCAGATATGGCTATTTGACAGAATTTTGGTTGATTTTTTCTATAGGTAGAATTTAGAAATTTAAACTATTTATCTATGTGTCATTTTAATACAAATGGCAGTTTCAGGATGATTTTGACTTCTTAGAAGTGTTCAATTCAAATGTAAAATAATTCTCTGATTCATTCTCAAGTATAAACTTTTTAATATTAAGATTTTGCATATAAAATAAAATATGAAACACAAGTTAAATTAAAAGAAATATAGACAAGATCAGATTACAGTGAGGAAAAATTGCTATTCTTTGGTTTTATGTCATAATGTGAATATGCTAATAACTGGGGATAATTGACACTGTAGGAACAAATATAAATATGTTTAATGAGGTTATTGATTTTTCCCTCATAAATGTTCTTACATACTTTATATTATAAGTATATCATTAATGATGTATGTCTTTTCATTAGAGTTGGCATAATAAAGATGACAATTAATTTTTAATGAATCTGTTTGTGAAATTTCATATTGAAAAATTAATAAAGCAAGCTTAATTTCATTGCTGAGTCTATTATTAGCCTTTCGTGTATTAGCAAGCAAATTTACCAATATGAACGTTTATACTGGGAAACTTGGCTAAGAAAGCTATGCTAAATTCCTTTTCTATAGGCCTGATAGGTAGAAAAATAAAATGCAGTTTGGAAAATAAACCAAAGCCTACAGCTGGGGAGTGTTATAATCCTATAGGACCTATTTCTCCTTTGATACAGAGCATTCGTGACAGCCAAACAAAGGTCAGCTTGTTGAGTAAAAGCTTCCTGATTGTCTTTAAACGAATTGGGCTGTTCCAAGGAAGCCTTTGGATTATCTGTGAAGTCTTAACACCTGGCTTCATTTGACAAGGATTGTAGATAGGGAAATTGTTGTTCTTGTTCACTTACACCAGCTACTTTAATATACCAACTTATCTAAGCCTGCTCACCTCTGGAAGATACATATCATTATCCCCATTTTATAGATCCTAAAACTGAGCACCAGAGATGGCATTAAGAAACATGACATCAGTTGATAGAGCCCCTATTCTAAAACAGCTGGGTCTTTCCTGCCTGCTCTTTCTAGCTTGAGAAACCTAGGACCTTTTCCTTTGTAAATTGCATTTGAGCAAAATGACAAATGTATTAAGTTTCTGAATGGGATGAATTGGTCATTTTATGAAAGAGAATGTTAAACTGAGAACACTTTCTTTGTGTGATTAAATCTGGCACAGATTTTATTTTATACCAATTCATTCAAAGACATTTTAAACAGAGGCTGTCAGGTAGGCTACACATTTTTTTCTTCCTCCGCACAATACATGATACAAGCGTGCCTCTGATCTGTCATTTGTAACTATTAAATCTATAGAAAAGCATTCATTTTAAATGGATTAGCAACAAATCATGCATTTAAAAATTTCCAGTTTTCTATGGATACAGGCAGAGGATTGAGAGAAGGCAAATGGATAAGACAAAACAACAGCTCAGTTTTCTCCATCCAGGGTGGGATAAAGCCTTTCAAAAGCTAGCAAATTCATAAGAGGCACAACATATTTCAGACATAAATGTTTTTAAAGAGAAGAAAATGGGAAAAATACAAAACAAAAAGAAATTTTGCATCAAAAAATCTCATGATGTTTCTTATCTTAATGTTAAGCTAACAACCCCAAAATTCTCCATTTTATCAATCATTTTTTCAAGTTATCCATTCATTTAGTTAGTTTGTTTATATAAGTTGGAGTACAGGATACGGGTTGGAGATTAGAGAAGACTTACAAGATCATTGAAATACAAATCAAGACTATCTTTAACACCTATGCTGCCTCAAAGCAAAACCAAAAAAACTGCACGGAACAAATCTAACATGATTCAAATTATGGCACCATCACTACTAACCTTGGGAAGGTACTTTATCTCACAACTTTGCATTAAGAAGCCAAGCCACTGACACCTTTTAAACAAATAGAAAGCTAAGCATATTTTTAAAATAATTATAAAGGTAAACTAATAAACAAAAAGAGTAAAGAAAACCCAGAGCAAGCAAACAATTCACAGTAAAAATAAAAAGTTTAAAATAGGTTTAACAACAAAAATAGGATATGATAAAACCAGATATATCTGTCATGTCAACAGACTGAGACTGCCTATGAAAAAATTCAGAGTGGACACATGGAAAATAAAAACTGACAATATTTAGAGGGAAAAAACAAACAAAAGGGAAGTAGAGCTCTTGATAAGGTTGAATTCAAGCCAAAAACAAGTGAATAAACTAGGCTAATAAAGACAACTTAAAATTTGCATGGAACCACAAAAGACCCTAACTAGCCAAAGCAATCTTGAACCAAAAGAACAGATCTGGAGGCAAGACACTGCCTGATTTCAAAATTTACTATAAACCTATAAAAATTTAAACAGCATGGAACTGGCATAAAAACAGACACATACACCAATGCAGCAGTATAGAAAGCCCAGAAATAAATTCACACACTACGATCAATTGATTTTTGACAAAGATGCCAAGAACACACAATGGGGAAAGGACAGTTTCTTCAATAAATGGCGATGGAAAAACTGGATATCCACATACTGAAGAATGAAATTAGATTATCATACTATAAACAAAAATCAACGTAAAATGGATTAAAGACTTAAATGTAAGACCTGGAACTATGAAACTACTAGAACAAAACATAGGGTAACAGTTTCATGATATGGGTCTGGGTAATGATTTCTTGGATGTTACCCCAAAAGCACAGCCAACAAACGCAAAAATAAACAAATGGGATTGCATAAAAATTAAAGTATCTGCACAGCAAAGGAAAAAAACAGAGTGAAGAGACAACCTACAGAGCGAGAGAAAATATTTTCAAACCATATATATCATAAGGAGTTAATATAAAAAATAAATGAGGAACTTAATAGCAAGAAAACAAAAAAAAAAATTAAAAATGAACAAAAAACCTAAATAGACACGTCTTAAAAGAAGAGACATGCAAATGGCCAACAAATGTATGAAAAAAAAATACTCAACAAATAAGTAAATACTGAACAAGTAAATAAATTATAAATAATAGGACCCAGTTTAGACAAACTAGTAACTAATAAGCAAGATGATAAAGCTAGAATGAACACTGTGGTGCTGGATTAGAACTGGCAATTTCGGTAAGAATTCATATTCATATTCATATTTACATGTATTTGTATACGTGTGTGTGTGCACGTGCTCATCTCAGACACACTTAGTAACTTAAAACAACAAAGATTCATTCTTACAGTCTGGAAGTCAGAAGTCCAAAATAGGTCTCACTGGGCAAAATCAAGGTGTCAGCAGGAATGTGCTCCTTCTGGAAACTCCAGGGAGAATCTGCTTCTTAGCCTTGTCCAGCTTCTAAAAGCTGCCTACATCCCTTGGCATGTGTCTCCTTCCTCCATCTTCAAAGCCAGCGACATAACATCCTTAAATCTTTCTCTGACTCTGACCTTCTCTGTCTCCATCTTCCACTTTGGTTATATTAAGCCCACCTGGGTAAACCAATTAAACCCACATGGGCAAACCAGGTTAAACTTGTTTTAAGGTTAATTGATTAACAACCTTAATTAGATCAGCCACCTTAATTCTCTCTTGCTGTCATGTAACCTAACATATTGACAGGTTCCATGGAAAAGAACATAATCATCTTTGAAGGATTATTACTCTGCCTACCAAAATAACCAAGCTCTTTTGCAGGAGAATTCTACCAAAATATTAAAGAGCAAATAATTCCCATGTTTTTAAACTTCTTCAGAGCATAAAAAGAAATAAAATTTAATTATTTCTTTTAATCAAGTCTAACAACATTGATACTGAACTTGGCAATGTTAGCCCTCAAAAGATAATTACAAACAAATCTCATTTCTCATCATCAAAGCCAACATCTTAAATAAAATATTAGCAATTAGAATTCAGTCACACATCAAAAGAATAATACATCATGCCAAGTGTTGTTTATCTTCTCAAACAATGAAAAGGCGTTTGCTACAATTAAACATACAATTTTATTTTAAAGAACTCTCAAATATTCATATTATTATGATAAAATATATGTTAATCTAAAAGACACCATTATACCTAATTTAAAAAGATGAAAAATGAAGAATAAAATTGGAAAGGGGGAAGTAAAATTTTCATATGGAACTCTAAACAATCAGTTAGAAATCACTATATTCAATAGACTTCAGTAATTTATCAAGATACAACTTTACTATTAGAAATAATAGCTTTCTACAAGCAAACACAACAAGCTAAAAGATGTAACAGATTAAATATTTGAATTTACAAAATAAATATAAAGCCTGTGAGGATAAATTTAATGAGAAATATCTATAAGAACTATGAAAGTTTAGCATATATAATAATTGCCTGCTTGTTTTAAAGATATGTCAATTATCTCTAAATTACATGACTTCAGTAAAGTATTAATAATTTATTTTGAATTTAGCAAATGAGTTAAAGTTCTTATGAACCAAAACCACAATGAGATACCACTTCACATCCATTAGGATTGTTAGAACTGAAAAGTCAGATAATAATATGTTGGCCAGAACGTGGAGAAATTAGAACCCTCCTAAACTGCTTTTAGGAAAATAAATATACAGCAATCTTGGAAAACTGTCTGGCAGTTTTTCAAATGATTAAGCATAGAATTACCATATAATCCAGCAATTCTCCTCCAGGCTATAGCCCCAAGAGAAATGAAGACATATCTCCATACAAAAACTTGAATGTTTATTACAGTATTACTTATAACAGCCATAAGGAGGAAGTAACCCAAATGTGTATTAAGGGATTAATGGATAAATGATACGTGATATATCCATCTAATAGAATATTATTCAGCCATAAAAAATGAAGTACTAATGCATGCTACAAAATGGATGAACCTTGAAAATATTATGCTAAGTGAAAGAAGCCAGTTACACAAGACTATACATGTGATTCCATTCATATGATTGTTCAGAATAGGGAAATCTATAGAAACTGAAATTGGTTACTTAAGTTTGGGGAGGAATGGGTGAATAGGGAGATGACAGCTAAAGGGTACAGTGTTTCTTTTCAAGGTGATGAAGACATTCTAAAACTAACTGTGGTACTGGTCACATATACCTGTGATTACATGGAAAATCATCAAATTATACATTGTAAATGGGTGAACTGCAAGATATATAAATTCTATCTCAATAAAACTGTTAGAAATCTTATAAAAATGAGCAAGCAAGATGACTAGGGGAAAAAAAAAACTTTTTAAAAAGCAATAGAGGTAAACTCAGTCCAATAATAAAAAAGTATGAGATTATGATACCACCTCATGAACAAAGGACAGATAAATGGGACACAATACACAGAGTAAACCCAGATCCCATGAGGATATTATACATGTGGTAAGAGATATATAAAATCAGCGGGAAAACATGGACTATTCAAAATATCTATTGAGACTAGCTACTTAGCTAGATCAGGGAGGGGGAAGAAGTAAACTTGGATTCGTACCTTATATCAAATACCAACACAGAGTTCCAAATATCCAAGATTTCTTGGTAATAATAAAATAATAAAGGTAATAAAAAGAGAATTTTGGTTTCCAAATTAATTTATAATCTCAATGCAGAAAGACTTTTTCTAAATGTGATTCATAACATAGAAGCTACGAAAGGATGAGTCAATTAAAATTTAAAACTTTTATGTCAAAAATACATATGTAAGATACATTTTTTAAACAGTGTCAAAATGCAGATGACACACTGGAGCATTACTTACAAATCACTAAACAGAAAGAAGACTAATTTTCCTCATATGTGAAGAGCTTCTAGAGACCAATAAAAAGATAAACTGACTTTCTAAAAATTGGACAAATTATGTAACCAAGCTTGCGCAGAAAAAATGAACATTTAGGTTCTTAAGTACAAAAAGATGCTCTACCTAACTCATAATGAAAAAAAACAAAATTTAAAACAGACTTGGATACAACATGTTCAGATTGGTAAATTTCTTGATGTTTGATGAGGGACAACATTGGCAATGCTGTTGGAAACAAACCTTCACAATTTGCTGAAAGAATTGTAACCTGAAGAAAAACCTAATGCATAAAATTTGTCAGTATCAAAATGACAAATGTTCTTAACTTTTAACCATCATTTAGCCTTCTTACAAATATTCTCTATCACATAAAATAAAACAAGCAGAATTATTCATTGTGGTATTGTAATAAACTTTGGGAAGTAACTCAATGTCCATCAAAAGGAATAGATAAACTGAGGTACATTCATATAATGTAGGGTGTTTCAACCTCAGCACTACTGATATTTTGGGTCAGATAATTCTTTGGGGGAGGATGGGATGTCCTGGGCTTTATAAGATGTTTAGCAACATCCCTGGCTTCTACAAACTAGATGCCATTAGCAGCCCCCCTCCCCACTGTGACAACCAAAAATGTCTTCACACACTGTCAAACGTGTCATGTGAAACAAAATTGCTCTCCCTCATTGAAACCCACTGATGTAATGGAATACCATAGAGCTATTTTAAAAACTGAGAATAAGCTATGCATTGAATTGGAAGGACCTATAATACATATTATATTTTGTTAAGCAAAAAAGCCAAGGTACAGAACAGTTTGTATAATATGCTACCAGTTTTTTCTGAAGAATGGGGATGTGTAAATATTTATATTTAGCACGCACACATAGCAAATGCTTTGGAAGGATTCAAGGGAACTAAAAACAGTGATGACCTTTTGGTTGGAAGGTAGATAGATGGATGGCTAGATATAGAAAGATTCTATCATAATTCTATGATAGCTTTGATTTTTTTAACCATTGGAATGTTTAAATAAGTAAATACATTGAACAAAATTGGCAAATGCATTTGAATCTTTCCCATTTTCTCTGTCTTAATAATCATCACTTATAAGGGTGCTGGACCTTGATTTCTCTCTCAAACTACTGAGAATCCTTAAGTGGACCAAGGTTTTCTTTGCCTATACACTAATGTGGGCTTCTGAAACATCTGTATAGTCAAGTTTTGATGTCTTGAGCAGCAGAAAATTTAAAGAAGTGGAAATATTGTAGTTTATAGTGATTGCTATTCTGGTAAGTCCCAACTGAAAAACTGGGACTCTTCTTTGAAGACTCCGAGTGGTCAATCTTAGCAGTCTTCTCCATTTGCTAGCTGAGGGTAGCATTATATTTTGGAGGCAAGGAATAGCAGTGATCCAGACCACCAGAGGCCGCTCCTTCAGATGGGGTCGGGAGCATTCATGGTGGTATGGCCATAGACAAGGACACTCCTTCAGAAGGACCACCAGTGTCAGCAGGACTGGGCAGCCCTCCTTCTATGCACCCTGTGTGGCACATATAGGCAGAAAAAACCCTCTTCACATGTTGAGGTGATTGTTTATTGTCTCTTGGGTGACTCCTTCTGAAAGCCTCAAAACTGATGGATTTGACCCATCCTCTACCAAAGAGGCAACCCATTGAACCAAAGAGGCAACTCTGGGTCTACTACCAAACCCCTATCCTGTTTCTGTATTGCAAAACAACAACTTTGTATATCCATTCTTCATTCTGCAGAAGTTATGGATTTAGCGGGATGTAAAAACTTCCTCCAGAAGATTTTAACTGACTCACTGACATTTGGTAGAATAAAAAGGTCATAACCAAATATTCATGCAACATTTCCCCACTAATTATATTTAGCCTAACTCCCTAATAACACAGATACAGAAATTCAGTTAAAGGGGTTAAGCAACTCAACCAAGTCTAAATAACTACGTAACCTAATGCTAAATTCGAGATGCTGAAAATATCCTAAAACAAATATTCATTTAAAAAGATCTGTACCTAGAGATTCTGAACTAGAATTTGGGAAGACAGATTCTGATTAGGGTATAATAAGAATGGAGACAATAATTGAAACCAGAGGGAAGAGGGCATTTTTAAGAGATAATATAAAGATCATAGCATTGAAGCATGAATTTGCAGGAATGCTCACAGCTGAAGCAGAAGAGGAAGAGAGGACAATTTTCCTTTTGATTTTCCATTTCTTCTGACTCTAAGTGTAATGTACTATAAGCTTCACAGATAAGAAAGGTATAGACAATACTATAGATGGCATAGAGCTTATCTCCCAACCACCAAAGATATCTCTTTCTTGGACCTCTACTTTGATCCAACAACTTCAGCATTTCATATTTTATATGAAACATTTATTCTGTTAAACATTAATTGAAATCTCTATCAGATTAATTTTGTTAAACCCAATATTTCCAAAATCTAAAGGCTCAAGAGGTCTCAAGGGAATACAGCAACTTGTTAATAGGGTACTCTCCCACTCTTGGAGATGCACTAATCTATTTGACCACAAATGAATCCTCCTTGTGTTTAGCAGAGTTATCTCTCAGTAGAAATACATGGACAAGCCTTGGGTGACATGGCTTCAGCTCGCTTTGTATGTCCAGGAAAACATTAAGAGTCCTGAAGTTCCCACACATAGTGAAATTATCCCCATTATGGCCACTATGTCTCCCACTATCCATTATCTATCCTTCCCCACTCTCTGCCCCGAGGTTCCCTGTAGCTACGGACTGCACCATCAGGGAGTCCTCACCTTCTGGCTTCTATATTGAGTCAGCAAATAGGAGGCACTCTTTGGAGAGTCAAAAGTGAGGAGAGAGAGTGCAATGCTCTTATTCCTGCCTCCCTGTCTGCAACTCTGCATCAACACTGCTTGCTCCACAGCTCCCCATCTGCTGAACAACCCTGTGGCCACCACAATTCAGTTCTCACTGGACTCTGGTGCCCTAATTTCCTCCTCATCTACTTTCAGCCTTTTGATCTTCCCGATGTGACTGGTGTGTTGAATTCTTTACCACTCTTTGTTCCCTTAAAATCTCTATAGATGAACTAACTAGGAAGAATCCTATTTTCTGCTGAAACTCTGAATTCTAAAAGTAGTGTTTCTTTCTATAAATTTTAAATACATATATAATAAAAAGAAGAACATTTACCTTTTCTGTAATTCTCATCTTAAATATACACAAACAATATCATGAATCTAATATTAAAATATCACTGGTATATGTGAATATAGGCACATAGTTTGAGGACTAACAAAAACTTAATTTTATTAAACAAATTACAAGCCTTTTTTCTAAAAAGAATTGAATTTGCTTTTTTCGTATTTGTATTTTTATGCAATAGAGCTTAGTTAAGGACTTGAAATCATTGTTTGCTATCTCTAAGGGACACATACTGAAATAGCATTTGCTTTTAATCAATATTACAAATGCTTGCCGAAGACAGACTCAGCTTTTGCATAAAGTCCTTCCACCAATTTGTCAACAGCATTTAAAAGTTTTTTCAGCTGAAAAGTGCCATGAAATGCTAGACTAGATGAAGGAGAGGAAGGCCACTTGTAAGCTAATAAGGCAGCTTCTTAACAAGGATTGCTTTCCATCATGTAATTATTCTGCTGGGGTTTTTCAGTTTCAGTTTAAATGGCTTAGAGCAGTCAGGGTCTGCCACCATTCCCAGGAGGTGTTTCCATGCCATGCATCCTTCTGTTGGATTGTTTCCTTGAAATTCTGCATTAGTCTTTAAAGACACATTAGTGTTCAGTACCATTTGTTATTTCCTTTCTGTGTTTGCATGTTTATTCAGGAGACATTAATGGAACCAAAATATCCCCATCCACATCCCATAGAGACCTCAAATTTGCAGAGTGCCTTCTCTACATGAAACATGAAGTGTGGGTTTCTTTTTTCGTGTATTCTCATTTATTCACACACAAAAAACAAGACCCATCAGTTGTCGTTGGAAACATGTCTCCAATCTCGCACCTCACTTTTTAAAGCTCCCCTTCATGTATATAATAGCTTCCTTTCAGAAAACAGGATTCGGTAGAAAGTGTTGTTACAAGGAAATTATATATTCAAATAAGCATAAGCAACAGTGCTTCATCTACAGTGTGACTCTTTGTTCAAATATAAATTGAAGACTGTTTAAAAATAACTTACCACTAAAACTAATGAATATTTATAGAATTAAAATATTTTGAGGCGATTCTCCACAATATCTTCAGTGACTGCAAAGAATTGAAATAAGGAGTTAGATAGGTAGTATTACATATAATAGCATCTCTATATACTGTTTATATATAATATTTAATACATAATTACTTATAATATATTATAATAAATACGATAAGTATAATAATATAAAAGTCATGTCTATAGATAAGCCACTAATTTTAGCAAAAAAATACCCAAGACTTCTAATATCTCTTTGAAAACAAGTTGATTAAAAGTTCCTACTAGTTAGATTACAAGTTTCTTACCTATGGACTGGATAAAGAAAATGTGGTACATATACACCATGGAATACTATATAGCCATAACAAAGAATAAAATCATGTCCAGCAACGTGGATGCAGCTAGAAGTCATTATCCTAAGCTGCATTAATGCAGAAACAGAAAACCAAACGCCATATGTTCTTACTTATAAGTGGGGGCTAAACATTTAAGTACACATGGACATAAATATGGAAAAATAGACACTGAGGACTCCTGCAGGGGAGGGGGAGGAAGGAGGGAAAGAGTTGAAAAACTCTATTGAATACTATGCTCAATACCTGGGTGATGGAATAAATCATACCCCAAAACTCAGCATCGTGCAATATACCCATGTAACAAACCTGCACGTGTACCCCCTGAATCTGAAATAAAAGTTGAAAATAAAAAAAAAACCTCTTTAGCCAAAATAGCCAAGGCATTTACTAATTTGACCATAGCTTTCTTTCTGATCATTTCACATTCGTTAAACTATGTTTCAGGTGTAATCAATATATTCTCCCCCTTCCTGACTCTGTGTCTTTAGATGAGATGTTATAAATACGTAAAATTCCTTTTTCCTGCTCTTTAACCCCTGGAAAATTCTTCCTTATCCTTTTGAACCTAGATTTAATGCCCTTTCTGGTGTGAGTTTGAATCTTTCCAAATGCTTTCAGGCAGAAAGAATTGCCTCCTCTCTGCTGCCTCAGGGCTGGGCTTAAACTCTCATGAAGCTCACCGTGCCGTGTTACAATTTATATTTCCAGTGTTTATTTATTTTGTCGTCAAGCTGAGCCCTTGAAGCCCAGTGTGGTTCCTTTGCACTGGACCTGAAGAATGTAAAGCTGACTGTTGATGACACAGGGCATATGAAAGCGAGCGCAAGGAGCCATCGTTAATCCCATTTCACAGGTAAAGAACCTGGGGCCTTACACAGAGTAACTAGTTGCATAAAAAGTAACACAGTTGGTAAAAACCAGCCAAAATGGAGAGACAGGATTATGTAAGTGTTTTTTGCGGTTGACGTGACCATTTAAAGAGATACTATTTTACATGTATTAGGATCACTTCCTTTTATTTCTTCTCCTCCCCTTCTTCTTCATTATAATAGGCAAAAAAAAAAAAAAGTTATTGACGGAAAGAATTCATGAGTAAATAAAAAGGTGAATGGCTGAAAGGCTTGCCTAAACTCACAAAACCTCTCTGAACCAATTTCCTCACCCATTTAACGGAGCCAAGTACCCCTCACTGTGAAGCTCATGGGACTAATTTAACATTGAGTTGGATAACAACATCTGATGTGCATGTATGTCTGTGTGTGTATGTGTAATATATTAAAATATTGTTTACCAAAATTTATCTCATATTTTACTTGATAAAAATAATATAAAATTTCGCAAATTTAGTCTTAAGGGTAAATTTATATTAGTATATATCTTTGAATACTGATTCACATTTAATACTTTTGACATCATTTTTCCTTTTTAAAAGATAAGTGTTATACTATTTCTTTAATCTTTTAATTTAGAATACACCACCTGTGGCTATAGAAGTTACTTGAATTTTCAGGTATCTTTCAGCTCCATCTGAAAAAATGCTTTGGAATATTGTGTTATTCCCTTACATTCATCATTTTTTACTTTAAGATCGCAGAAAAGAAATAGACTGGGTTCTAATGTGTTCTCAGTTATAAAGATGGTTGGAAGTAAAGCTAAAAAATGTATTCTCCAGTATTTATCATCACATGTTAGAAATATTACTAGAATAAAATTTTCATAACATCAAGTCTTGTCTCAATTTTTAGCAGTAAGTCCTTAAGAAATGCATTCGCTTCAATTTGCATTTTATATGTCAGAAAGCTGGGGCTCAAAAGCATTCATTATTGCCAGCATTGCTTTGAGAATTAAATGAGAAAGTACATAATAAAACATAATATAGGCAGAATTCCCTGACATCTATAGACAATCAGTGTTTGTTTTGTGATTATTCCATGAAGATAAATCAATGAACTTGATTTTGGACCCAGTGGTGACAGAGATACACACAGGATCGCATGCCTTATTGTGCTCCCTGCACAGTCCTAATCAAAGGAGAAGAGTCAGGCCTGGGTGTTGCTCTTCTGACTGGACTAACCATTGGAAACTCAATCCACTGCCTCTTCATCAGCTCTGGGAAATAAAGATCTGTCAATCAAAGCAACAAACAAATAGCAGAAAGAATAGCAAATACAGCAAAACCCTCAATCATTACACACTCCCCTCCATCACTTTTTTCATCACTTTAAGTAATTATGCCTACTCAGAGAACTCTGATTTTTTTCCTTCACATAAAAGTAAAAATAATTTTGGCTTGGTTTCTGTGTTCCCCCCTCTCTCTTTAGATAACTGGTGCATCAGAAGAAGTAAATGGATGGGATATTTTTGTAATGAAATAGAGGTCATTAGACATCTTTGATTATTAACATTAGCTATCAAATCTACAAAATTCAAATGTTTTGAGTGTTTTTTTCATATCTGTCCATAAGTTTTCTTCAAGATTGTGCGTCTTCATATTCTCTCATCTGATGACCAGCCAATCACTCCTCTAGCATCTGATTTCACAAGGGTTTGTGCTTGTTGATTTATACCAAGCCTGCAATAAACCAAAGTCTTACTTGTAAATGTTCCTGTTGTGTTGCTGCCTGCTGCCTCTATCCTGCATTTTTGTAAATAATATTTGGATACAATCTAAATATTGTACATTTCTCCTCCTGCTTATCTTAGGATCCATACCAGTATTTTTGAATCTTGGCTTTACCATTTCACATACCAATCACTCTTCTATTCCTTTATACAGCTAGAGATGAGAAAGAGATTTCAATAAGCTTACTGACATTGATCAATAGGTAATGGCTCCTTTGTGAATTGAAAAGTATTCTGAGGCTGATGAAAATAAATATTATAATCACCTAGGGATCCCAGCATGGGTAGGAGAGATGGAAATGGCTGCCTGCAGGCCATTGTCACCTAAAGAGCTGATATCAAATACATACTGTGTGAAAGTTTCTTTGGATACCATATACACTGTCAGCTTATGCCTTTTGTGGGCTGCTTTCTGCTTTTGTCTTCTACTTTTTGAGAAGTCTCACACAATCAGGAGACACCTCACTCTACAAATGTCCAAATTTGAAGTATTTTGGATGTTTTTCCAAAGCTTAATGAAATCATGAATATTATTTGACTGATCAATCAGATACATTGAGGAAAGAAAATAAGTAGATAATGGCATATAGGAAAATAAAAAGCAAACTATTGTGAAGAGATTCTATAGATATTAGTGATCAGATTCAAGAATTATCAGATTTAAAAATCCACAAATGGCTGAGTGTGGTGGCTCACGCCTGTAATCCCAGCACTTTGGGAGGCCAAGGCGGGTGGATCATGGGGTCAGGAGTTCGAGACCAGCCTGTCCAATAGAGTGAAACCCCTTCTTTACTAAAAATATAAAAATTAGCTTGGCATGGTGACGTGCTCCTGTAGTACCAGCTAATCACATATAACACAAAAACAAATGGAAAAACATTCCATGCTCTTCATGGATTGGAAGAATCAACATTTTTCAAGTGGTCATGCTGCTCAAAGCAATCTATAGATTCAGTGCTGTTCCTATCAAACTACCAACCTCATATTTTACAGAATTAGAAAAAACTATTGTAAAATTCATATGAACCCAAAAACGGGCCCAAATAGCCAAAGCAACCTTAAGCAAAAGAAAAAAAAAAAGAAAAGGTATATAAACCAGAGTCATCACATTACCCAACTTCAAACTATACCACAAAGCTACAATAACTGAAACACCATGGTAGTGGCACAAAAATAGACACACAGACCAATGGAACAGAATAGAGAACTCAGAAATAAAGCCACATACTGACAACCATCTGATTTTCAACCAAGTCAGCAAAAATAAACAATGAAGAATGGGGAAAAGACTCTGTGTTCAATAAATGGTGCTGGGATAACTGGCTAGGCATATGCAGAAGAATAAAACTGGACCCCTACCTTTCACCACGTATAAAAATTAAATTAAGATGGACTAAAAATTTAAACGTAGGATCTCAAACAATAAATACCTTGGAAGAAAACCTAGGAAACATGCTTCTCAACATTGGCCTTGGCAAAGAATTAGTGGCTAAGTCCTCAAAAGCAACTGCAACAACAACAACAACAAAATGACAAATGGGACCTAATTAAACAAAAGAACTTCTAAACAGCAAAAGAAACTATCAACAGAGTAAACACAGAATGTACAGAATGTGAGAAAATGTTTACAAGCTATACATCTGACAAAGATCTAATATGTCCAGAATCTATAAGGAACTTAAACAAATCAACAAGCAAAAAACAAACAACCCCATTAAAAAAATAGGCAAAGGACATGAAAAGGCGTTTTCTCAGGTCAACTTCCTGTACCACACATGAAAGACACCATGATGCTAAGCATAGCAGTGTAGCACTATAAATCCTGAAAAAGCTGCATGTGTAAAGACATACAAGCAGCCCACAAATATATGAAAAAAATACTCAATACCACTAATCATCAGAGAAACACAAATCAAAACCACAATGAGATATCATCTCACACCAGTCCGAATGGCTATTATTAAAAAGCCAAAAAACAGCATATCCTGGTGAGACTGCAGAGAGAAGAGGTCACTTACACAAAGTTAGCGGGAATGTAAATTAGTTCAGCCTTTGTGCAAAGCAGTTTGGAGATTTCTCAAAGAATTTAAAGTAGAACCATTTGACCCAACAATCTCATTACTGGGTATATACCCAAAAGAAAATAAATCATTCTGTCTAAAAGACACATGCACTCATGTTCATTGCAGCACTATTCACTATAGCAAAGACATGGAATCAACCTAAATGTCCATAGATGGTGGACTGGATGAAGAAAATGATACGTATACACCAAGGAATACTATGCAGTCATTAAAAAGAACAAAATCATGTCATTTGCAGCAATATGGATGCAGCTGGAGGCTATTATTTATGTGAATTTACTCAGAAACAGAAAACCAAATACCATATGTCCTCACTTATAAACGGGAATTTATCACTGAATACACACGGACATAAAAATGGGAGCAATGGACACTGGGGACTGCTGGAGGTGGGAGGGAGAAAGGTGAGGGCTGAGGGACTGCCTATAGGATCATTTGTACCTCAAACCTCAATATCACGCAGTGTTCCCATGTGACAGACCTTCACATGTACCCCCGAATCTAAAATAAAAGTTGAAATTATCTTAAAAATTAAAAATAAATAAGAAAAGTACTTTAAGGCTTCTTCCCTTTAAAAAGCTAAAAGTTAAGTGGTACAAATTATTTTAATAATAGAAAGCTTTTAAGAGATTATAGTAAAAATGACACTGATGAAAATAATGATGATGATAATGATAATTACAGTCCCAAGCACTGTGCGAAGTGCCTCTCATGAATTATCCAATTTAATCAATGCCACTGAGGAAGCAGTAGCATCGATACTCCCATTGTACAGAAGAGAAAATGTATCAGAAGGCTGAACCTCCTCAAGGTTACACTGCCGTAATGCAGCAAAGCTGGGACGTTTCAGCTCACTTCAAACCCTGGACTCATAATAACTACATGATACTGGCCAGGTAATAGTGTCATAGTCATCCCCAATAATTCTCTCACTTTCATCAAAACTCAGGTCAACTTCCTGTACCACACATAAAAGACACCATGATGCTAAGCATAGCAGTGTAGCAGAATAAATCCTGAAAAAGTTGCATGTGTAAAGATCCGGGGATGGAGCCTTTTTTCTCCAGTGCCCTATACCTCTGCCTTTCTCTCTCAGTAGTTTTATGACCTGTCACTACTTTAGCAGACAGCACATCAGCAAGTTTGCAGGGTAATCTTTCTGGACTGATCTCATTTATGCTTGTCCATTTCTTGCCAGTAACAAATCTTGTAAAAACACTTAGCGTTCCAGGGCTTTTCACATATAACTCATCTATCTGAAGGTTTAAAAAAGTAATTCACAACACAGCTCTCCATCAAAAGAGGTAATCATTTCCATTTCTGTCTTCATGTAAGATATAATAATTCTGTAATTTATGGGGCCACAAAAGCTCTGTGACTTATATCATTTGGAGCATAATGTGATCTTCTCTGATTAATAGCTGCCATTTATTCAGAGACTGTGCAGGACACTTTATATTTATTGAACATTCTCACTTAATTCTCACAACAATTGTAAGAGAAGCTATCATTATTTCCACTTTATAGTCACAGAAACAATTGTAGCTCATGGGGCCAGGATCAAACCTGGGAAACATCAATTATTCTGCCAATGAATAAAAGGGTAGGAAAGTTGATGGCAGATTGGGTACCATCTGTTTCATATTAACATTTGCTATTTTATAATTTATTTATTCAACCAAGTTTTATAAAGCTTTATTTAGGCACAGTACACAATGAGATTATTGAATTAAACATCTAACAATGGAATATTTAAAAGATATCCTCACCCAGAGGCAGTTGCTCAGCTGAATAGCTGCCACAGTGATTCTCAAACCTCCATTCTCTCTCTGTTCCCTCCCATCATTCTAGACAAGGGTTTCTCAACATTAGCACTATTGACTTTTAGAGCATGTAAATTCTTGTGAAGTCTGTCCTGTGCACTGTAAAATGTTTAGCATCATCACTGTCCTCTGCCCACCAGATTCCAGTAACATCCCCTTCCCTACTTTTAACAATCAAAAAATGCCTCCAGTTATTGTCAAATGGCTACTAGATTGCAAAATTGGCCCCAGCTGAGAAAATCTGTTCTAGACTGAAATCACACCTAATGTATCCTCATAATACTTATCACAGTTTTGTATTTAACAAATAATTCTATCTTCCTTAGTTAAATATAAGCTCTTTAGTGTATGGCTATACCACAATGACTACACAGCATATAGGACCTAGTTTTCCTTAAAAAAAAAAAAAAAAAAAAAAAAGTTGGTTGGGTCAATATGGAGAATACTCTCAAATAATGTATTTATTAATACATTTTTAAATGTTTTAATGATATTTCGGGCAGCCAAACAGGGTATTGGTTTTGTTTTCCAGGTTTCTTTTAATTTTGGTTTTGTTACATCCAACCTTAAGGGAAGTGAGAAGTAAAACTAACAAAGGTGAGAGAGACCTGCTAAGTTTTGCGTTCATCTCAAAATATCTACATAGCAAAGGGCTTTGACTTTTCTTGACAGTCACATATTTGACATTGATTATCTGCAATGAAAATATCAATACTTCAAGGCCATCTTGTAGATCTCCTATCTCCAAAAGGGAATGAGAAAGCATTTTTCACAATACACACAGCATACAATTTTAATATTCAATTTGATATTAATCATATTATTCATTTTTAATCACTCCTTACACTATAATTGAGTGAAGGTCAGAAAGAATCTTCCATTTTGTTTATTTATCATATTAAACAATAAATGTTATTGCGTGAAATAATTCATAAATGAATGGAAGATAAAAGATACGTGTTAGGATAATTGAAAAGACACACAGACTGAAAATGAAAGGATGGAAAAAATATTCAATGCAAACAGAAAACAAAAGCATGCAGGAGTAACTTTACTTACATCAGACAAAATAGACTTTAGGTTAAAAAACAAAAAAAAGGCAAAGAAGATCATTATACAATAATAAAGGGATTAATTCATCCAGAGGATATAACAATTCTAAATATATATGCAGCACCCAGCACCAGAGCATCCAGATAAATAAAGCAAATATTCTTAGAGCTAAACAGAAGATAAAACCCAATACAATAATAGTTGGGGGTTTCAACACCCCACTGTCAGCATTGGACAGATAATGGAGACAGAACGTCAACAAAGTATTGGGCTTAAACTATAAACCAAATAGACCTAATAGACATTTATAGAATATTATATCAAATAGCTGCAGAATACACACTATTCTCATCACCACGTGGAACATTCTTTGGTACAGACCATACGTTAGGCCACAAAACAAATCTCAATAAACACAAAAATAATCAAAATCATTTCAAGCATCTTTTCAGACCACAATAGGGTAAAACAAGATATCAGTGGCAAGAGGAACTCTAGAAACTGTATATCGAAATTAAATAATATGCTTCTGAATGACCAATGGGTCAAAGAAATTAAGAAGAAAGTCAAGTTTCTCAAAATAAGTGAAAATGGAAACAAAACATATCAAAACCTATGGAATACATCAAAAGCAGTTCTAAGAGGGAAGTTTATAGCAATAAACATTTACATCAAAAAAGTACAAAAATTTCAAGTATATAACCTAACAATGCACCTCAAGGAACTACAAAAGCAAGCATAAACCAAACCCAAAATTTGTAGGAAGAAAAAAATAATAAAGATCAGAGCATAACTAAACAAAATAGAGACTAAAAAACATACAAAAGATCAACAAAACAGTTTTTTTAGAACCAAAATTGACAAACTCTTAACTAGGCTAACCATAAAAAAAGAAAATACTCAAATAAATGCAATCAGAAATGAAGAACACATTATAACTGATACCACAGAAGTACTAAGGATCATTGATGACTATTATGAACAACTCTACACTAACAAATTCAAAAACCTAAAAGAAATTGATAATTTTCTGGGCACATAAAAGCTACTGAGGCTGGACATGGTGGCTCACACCTATAATCCCAGCACTTTGGGAGGCCGAAGCAGGCCTATCACTTGAGGTCAGGAGTTTGAGACATTACATCAAGCCAAAAAGTTTCTGCAGAGCAAAGAAAACAATTAACAGAGTGAAGAGACAATCTTAGATGAGAGAAAATATTTACAAACTATTCATCTGACAAGGGACTCATATCCAGAATATACAAGGAACTCAAAAGTTTCAACAACAATAACAAATCTGATTTTTAAAATGGGCAAAGAATCTGATTAGACATTTCTCTGAAGAAGACATTCGAATGGGCCACAGACAGTGGCTCACGCCTGTAATCCCAGCACTTTGGGAGGCTGAGGCGGGTGGATCACCTGAGATCAGGAGTTCGAGACCAGCCTGACCAACATGGTGAAACCTCGTCTATACTAAATACAAAAAAATTAGCTAGTTGTGGTGGCGAGTGCCTCAGCTGCTTGGGAGGCTGAGGCAGGAGAATCACTTGAACCCAGGAGGCGGAGGATGCAGTGAGCCGAGATTGCACCATTGCAGTCCAGCCTGGGCAACAAGAGCGAAAACTCGGTCTCAAAAAAATAAAATAAAATAAAAAATTTTTAAAAAGATATTCAAATGGCCAACAAATATATGAAAAAAAAATCAATGTCACAAATCATTAGGGAAACATAAATCAAAACCACAATGAGATATTATCTCATCCATTAGAATGGCTATCATCAAAAACAAAAAATAATAAATATTGGCAAGGATGCAGAAAAGATAACTTTCATACACTGTTGGTGGGAATATAAATTAGTACAGCTATTATGGAAAACAGTAAGGAGGTTTATCAAAAAACTATAAATAGAGCTACCATATGATTCAGCAATCTCACTTCTGGGTATTTATCTTAAAACAGGAAATGGGTATATAAAAAAGATATCTACGCACCCTTTTATGGCAGCAATTTTGGCAATAGCCAAAATATCGAATCAACGTAAGTATCCATCAACAGATGAATGAATTTGTTAAATTCACACCACACCATGCATAACGGAATATATTCAGTCATAAAAAAATGAATGAAATTGTATCATTTATGGCAACAAAAATGAGCCAGGAGAACATTATGTTAAATAAAATATGTCAGGGACAGAAAGATAAATACCACTTTTTTTTTTTTTCTTTTGAGAAGGAGTCTGGCTCTGTCGCCCAGGCTAGAGTGCACTGGCATGATCTCAGCTCACTGCAACCTCCGCCTCCCAGGTTCAAGCAATTCTCCTGTCTCAGCCTCCCGAGTAGCTGGGATTACAGGCACCCACCACCATACCTGGCTAATTTTTGTATTTTTGGTAGAGACAGAGTTTCACCATGTTGACCAGGCTGGTCTCGAACTCCTGACCTCAGGCAATTCGCCCACCTTGGCCTCCCAAAGTGATGAGATTACAGGCTTGAGCCACCGCACCCAGCCCACATATTCTTACACATATGTGGGAGTCAGAAAGAAAGATCTCATAGAAGTAGGAAATAGAATTGTGGTTATTAGAGGCTGGGAAGTGTAGCAGGGAGGGGAAGATAGACATTGGTTAATGCACACAAAGTTACAGCTATATGAGGAGAATAAGTTATAGTGCTCTGTAGCACTGTAGGATAAATATGGTTTAAAATAATTTAGTGTATATTTTCAAAAAGCTAGAAGAGAGGATTTCGAATGTGCGCAACACAAATAGTAAATGTTTGAGGTAATGGATATGCTAATCACCCTGAATTAATCATTACGCATTGTATACATGTATCAAAATATCACTTTGTATCTCATAAATATGTACAATCATTACATGTCAACTAAAAATAAGAGGAAAAAAGAAAAGTCAAAAGAAAACATCCTTCTCATTATAACTATACATCTTAAGGAATTTACTGCCCTGGACAAGCTTTACAAGTTTAAACTGCAACAAATCTTTTTGTTCCAGAAAAGTGATTCTTCATTGATATGCCTCTGACTATCAGAATTTTTAGCTACCTAAAGCATAAAACTGACCTGAAATCTGAAAACGTAAAGCATTGAATTGAATACAAAATATTTGCCACACCTGGCAGTAGAAATTGCCCACTCTATCTTTGAAAAGTGGGAATTATTTAGCAATTTTGGATAAAGTGATCTCTATAATTTTTCTACTTACTAATAATTGATACATATATTTATTAGGAAATTAGAGTTTCACTTTTCTCCAGGGATATAAAAGTCTCTGTTGGCCAGGCACGGTGGCTCACGCCTGTAATCCCAGCACTTTGAAAGACAAAGGCGGGCGGATCAAGAGGTCAGGAGATTTCGACCTTCCTGGCTAACACAGTGAAACCCCGTCTCTACTAAAAATACAAAAAAATTAGCCGGGCGTGGTTGCGGGCGCCTATAGTCCCATCTACCCAGGAGGCTGAGGCAGGAGAATGGCGTGAACCCAGGAGGCAGAGCTTGAAGTGAGCCGAGATCGCACCACTGCGCTCCAGCCTGGGCAAGAGAGCAAGACTCTGTCTCAAAAAAAAAAAAAGCTATGTGGTAAAGAATAGTAGTTCGTTAATAGATTACAAAAATATTACCTTGAGATATATATCTTTCAATTGAAAATGAATGTTATGTTTGGTTGTTTGTGATGTAGAATTGGACACAGTAATATTTTCTATTCTAATGGTACATTTCAAGAAAATAAGCAGTATTTGTATTTTCCAGGAAAATATATTTTCATATGACATTTACTATCACCAACTATGAAGAACTGAGGGCACCCGATTGTATAAATTCTCCAAGGCTTTGGGAATTTTATCAGCCTCTCAAAATTACATTCAATATATAAATAATAAACTTAGCTGTTTCTCAATGTTGCCTTAGAAGACAGCAAAAAAGAAGAAATATCAAGGCCTAGAGACCTAGCCAAACTTGACTAAAAATAAAAAAAAGATATTAGAAAGTGTCTAACCATAGCTTACATTTGCATTCAAATTAGTGTTCAAAACAATATAGAGGGCATAGAGATAGTGTCTTCCCATGCAGTTGTCTTAACATCGAGCTTTCTTTTAATTAGCAATTTGAAACATGCAATATGCTTGTGTATATTGTGTATTCCTGAAAAAGAAGATTACTCATATAGTGTTCCTCAAACTAAAAATGGAAATTTGGTTCTCAGACCACCCATTATTACTACCAGAAACAGATATACCTCTTAACACAATCTCCAAAGTGATGCTCTAGCAGAATATGCTATGCTATCCACATCCATGTGGATGGAGCTAAAAGTCTGGAAAAAAATGCTGTAATCTCTGGCATTGTTCCTCTCTGCTACATAATTGTGACGTTGACTGTTCTGTACTGTTTATCAGAAGCTACAATTGAGGGAAGACCGTCATTATGCCTTTTCCCATTCTTGATTAGCTTGATGTGCAGATGTCTTCCTTAAGGTCCACAGATTCAGGAGGCTTTGCTTGGACAAGCTCAGCTCTTGTCACGCAAAGCTGGAGATCCTGGCTGTCTTTCCAGTCATAAGCTTATCCTCATCTCCAACCCACATTATTTTGCTGACCAACTGGGCAAGATCCTCCCTGTTATGAATCACTATGTTAACTTCTTACTTCCTCTTCTTTACTTTAAGATGATTATCACAAAACTTAATTTTCTTCTGGCATACAGAAGACTACGTTTCCCAGGCTTCCTTGCATATGTGGTGGCAGGTTTGCACAATAAAATGACGGCATAATGATGTACACCACTTCTACAGCTGCACCCTCAAACCTGGGGCTTATTCCACTCATTTTTTCTCTCTCTCCTTTACCTGCCAGTCAGAAGCAGAGGATTCAGTGAGGAAACACAAAGGCCCTAGAAGAAGATAGAGCCATTAGACATGTAGGACTGGGACTGGGTCCTTGAATGACTGTGAGGAGCAGAGTGCCTGCCCCCGTCAGCATTGGACTGGGACAAGGGCAAAGAAAAATCTTTTATTTTAATAAACCACAGAGCTATGAGTGATATTTATGTTTCAGGCTATGGTAACAGTTATATAAGACACCAATCTCAAATAAACCGTTATGTTACAAATGTTTATGGAACATAATATAACACACACATGCATGCATATATATATATATAATATATATATACATTTTAAAAATTATTACACTACATGGAGCCATGAATCAAATCACCAGCAAATATTTTTTAAAAGATAAATTTTCTCACCAATCCCACATATCAAAATCTCCAAAAGTAGAATATCAAAGCTTATATTATTATTTTCTTACTCCACTATAATCAATTAATACCCTTTGGGAGTTAAGCCGAATCTCCATGAAGCAGAATAACTGGAGTGTATTTTACTGACCACCTTAAAATTGCATTTAGAAAGTTAAATTTGGGATATTTCAGGTAATTACATGGAGAATATTAAATTATTGAAAATA
Organism: Homo sapiens; assembly: GCF_000001405.40. Taxonomy (NCBI): domain Eukaryota; kingdom Metazoa; phylum Chordata; class Mammalia; order Primates; family Hominidae; genus Homo; species Homo sapiens. The sequence continues at coordinate 59,478,065 of NC_000016.10, read as the reverse complement.
TCTTTTTCCACTGGAATTTACAGAGTCCTCTGTAGGTGGAACCATTTCTAGGACTCAATATCATAAATTATGGTACTTTGTATAATAATCTAATGGTTGTTATACAATGGACATTGTCAAACATCAATGTTGATGATTCTCAGTTGAGTTTCTCATGTCTCTGGCAACATCTGGAATGCAACAGTATAGCTGAAAGCCTGAAGAGAAGACTGTACTTATTTTTCATCACCAAATTTACCCAAAGATGTTTTTATGAAATAATAAATTGAACAGGTTAGAAACATTTATGGTAGTATTCACAGTAATTATGGAAAATTAGCACACTCTGGATTTTATACTTTATCCTAAATATTAATTTTTCAAAATCAATTTTTGTTCACAGTGTACCAGTTTACCCCCAATACATAGGCTGGTGTAGACATGTACACGCCCCAGTGGTTAGCAGTTTTTTGTTTGCATTCACTTGATCATATTTTCCACGTTTCAGTAGCTGCATGGAAGACGTCAGCTGATGTGTGACCACCATGCTGAGAGAACATGATTTTTGTCACTTCATTTCACCTCTTACATGATCTTAAATCTATTTGTCATTAAGATTTATTTCCTTGGTATTTTTTGAACCACTTTAAGTTCTTGGAAGACAATGAGAAATCAATCAATTGATAAATATATACTTTATTTATTTCTCTTTATTTTGATTCCACAATCACAAGAAAATGTTCTGGTTTCTAAATTTGCCTCACAGGAACTCTAAATATATCTCTGGAGAGAGATAACTATTCTAGAATTTCAGTTTTTGGAAAGGTAGGCTCCCCTGTGAAAAGCTTTAAATTTGTACCTGATTATATATTCGCATTTTACCTTCCCTGAGCAGGAATGAGCATTTAGATTGGGTCCTAGACTTCATCAGGCCACAGTGCTTTCCTGTATTCTGTGAAGTGTGATCATGTAAGTCACCCTTTTGAATGGTCACATAGCTTTACTGTGAGCAAACATTGTTACTAGTAAGTCTGAACTGTCTATGGCAGGAGAGAGAGATGGAGATAATTTTTAAATATAATTACTTGTTAATATGAAATAAAGGTTTCATATTTATAATTTTTGATAATATGAAGTCTCTGTTATCCCCAAATTGAAAATCACCAACTAAAAGTGTGTTTTCTATGTATAATGCCAAAGCCAATATATATATATATATATACACACACTATATATATGTAATTTTAGTTGGGTAAAAGTGCAGTTTTGTTACGTGGATCATATTGCATAGTGAAGAAGTTTGGGCTTTTAATGTAATCAACACCTAAATAGTGTACATTATACCCACTGAGTAATTTCTCATATCTCTCACCCTCCTCCCACCCTTCTGACTCTCCAATGACTATTACTCCACTAAAGCTAAAACTCCCACTTACAAATGAGAACATGTAATATTTGACTTTGTGATTCTGAGTTGTTTCCCTTGAGATAATGACCTCCATCCATGTTACTGCTAAAGACATAATTTCATTCTTTTTTATGGCTGAATAGAGTTGTATTGGAGAGAGAGACAGAGAGGGGAGGGGAGGGGAGGGGAGAGGAGGGGAGGGGAGAGGAGAGGAGAGGAGAGGACAGGACAGGACAGGAGAGGACAGGAGAGGAGAGGAGAGAGAACATTTTCTCTATCCAATCATCTGTTGTTGCACACTTAGGTTAATTTCGTATCTTTGCTATTGTGAATAGTGCTCTGGTAAACACACATGCTGGTATCATTTTTAATATAATGTTTCCTTTTCCTTTTCCTTTGGGCAGATACTCAGTAGTGGGAATGACGGATCAAATGGTAGTTTTACTTTTAGTTCTTGAGAAATTTCCATACTGTTTTTATGACTTTTATTTTAAGTTCTTATGCAGGTTTGTTACATAGGTAAACTTGTGTCATGGATATTTCTTTTTTTCTTTTTCTTTTCTTTTTTTTTTTTTTTTTTTTTTTTTGTGATGAAGTCTTGCTCTGTCTTCCAGGCTGGAGTGCAGTGGCGCGATCTTGGCTCACTGCCAGCTCCGCCTCCCGGCTTCCCGCCATTCTCCTGCCTCAGCCTCCTGAATAGCTGGGACTAAGGTGCCCGCCACCACGTCCAGCTAATTTTTTGTATTTTTAGTAGAGACGGGGTTTCACTGTTAGCCAGGATGGTCTTGATCTCCTGACCTTGTGATCCGCCCGCCTCGGCCTCCCAAAGTGCTGGGGTTACAGGCGTGAGCCACGGCACCCCGCTGTGTCATGGGGATTTCTTGTGCAGATTATTTCATCACCCAAGTATTAAGCCTAGTACCAATTAGTTATTTTTTTCTGATCCTCTCCCTCTTCCCACCCTCCACCCTCTGATAGGCCCCATGTGTGTTGTTCCCTCTGTTTCCAAGCATTTCATCATTTAGCTCCCATTTATAAGTGAGAATATGTGGTATTTGGTTTTCTGTTACTGCATTAGTTTGCTAAGGATAATGACCTCCATTTCCATCCATGTTCCCACAAATGACATAATCTCATTCTTTTTTATGGCTTATCATATTCCATGATGTATGTGGACCACATTTTCTTTATTGAGTCTATCATTGATGGGCAGTTAGGTTGATTCCATGTCTTTGCTATTGTGAATAGTGCTGCAATGAACATACGCATGCATTTGTCTATATGATAGAATAGTTTATATTCCTTTGGGTATATACCCAGTAATGGGATTGCTGGGTTGAATGGTATTTCTATCTTTGGGGCTTTGAGGAATAGCCACACTGTCTTTTACAATCGTTAAACGAATTTACACTCCCACCAACATATAATGGTTGTACAATTTGCATTTCCACCAACAGTGTGGAAGTGTTCCTATTTCTCTGCATCCTCACCAACATCTCTTATTTTTTGTCTTTTTAATAATAGCCATTCTGACAGGGATAAGATGACATCTCATTGTTGTTTTAATTTGCATTTCTCTGATGATTAGTGATGTTGAGCATTTTTTGATATGCTTGTTGGCCATTGCATGCCTTCTTTTGAAAAATGTGTGTTCATGTCCTTCGCCCACTTTTTAATAGGGTATTTGATTTTTTGTTGTTTAGTTGTTTGAGTTCCTTGTAAATTCTAGACATCAGTCCCCTGCTGAATTTATAGTTTGCAAATATTTTCTCCTATTCTGCAGATTGCCTATTCACTCTGTTGGTTATTTCTTTTGCAGTGCAGAAGCTTTTTAGTTTAATTAAGTCCCATTTGTCTATTTTTGTTTTGTTACTTGTGCTTTTTCAGTCTTAGTCATAAATTCTTTGCCTAAACCAATGTCCACAACAGTTTTCCCTAGATTTTCTTACACTATTTGTATAGTTTCATGTCCTACATTTGAGTCTTTAATTGGTCTTGAGTTGATTTTTGTACTAGTATATGGTGGGAGATAGGGGTCCAGTTTCATTCTTCTGCAGATGACAATCCAATTTTCTGGATTTCAACTATCACTTACTGAGAAGGGTATCATTTCCACAGTGTATATTTTTGTTAAGTTTGTCAAAAATCAGTAGCTTTATTCTTGAGTTCTCTATTCTGTTCCATTGATCTATTTTTATACCTGTGTCATATTGCTTTGGTTACTGTAGCACTGTAGTATAATCTGTAATTGGGTAATGTGATACCTCCATCTTTTTTTATTTTTTTGCTTATAATTGCTTTGGCTATCAGGGCTCCTTTTTGGTTCCATATGAATTTTAGGACTCTTTTTTCTAATTCTGTGAAAAATGACATTGGTATATATATACATATATTTTTTCTCCCCTCCCTCCCTGACCAACATTGGTATATTGGTAGGGATAGTATTGAATCTGTAGACTGCTTTGGGTAGTAAGATCATTTTAACAATATTAATTCTTCCAATCCATTAGCATGGAATGTCTTTTCATTTGCTTGCATTATTCATAATTTCTTTTATCTGTGTTTTGTAATTTTCTTTGTAGAGATATTTCACCTTCTTAGTTAAACATATTCCTAGGTATTTTTTGTACCTATTGTAAATGGGATTACCTTCTTGATTTGGTCCTCAGCTTGATTATTATTGGTGTATAGGAATGCTACTGATTTTTGTACATTAATTTTGTATCCAGCAGCTTTACTGAACTCATTTATCACATTCAATAGTTTTTTTGTAGAGTCTTGAGGATTTTCTAGATATAAGATAATATAATCAGCAAACAGGTAATTTGACTCCTTCCATTCCATTGTGGATGCTTTTTATATCTTTCTCTTGCCTGATTGCTCTGGCTAGAACTTCCAGTACTATATTGAATAAGAATGGTGAGAGTGGACATCCTTGTCTTGTTCAGTTGCTAGGGGAATTGCTTTCCACTTTTTCCCATTCAGTGTGATGTTGGCTGTGGGTTTGTCATATATAGCCTTCATTATGTTGAGGTATATTCCTTCTATGTCTAGTTTATTGAGGGTTTTTACCTTGGGGGGATGCTAAATTTTATCAAATGCTTTCTTTGCATCTACTGAGATGATCATATGGTTTTTGCCTTTAACTCTCCTTATGTGATAACAGCTTATCACTTAACTCCATAAGCAAAATTGTTAGACCAAAGAACATGACCAGTTAAAACCTCCCTTGTCTAACTTCATGTTAAAGTAACTTACATCACATTTAGCTTTTTGCTTTACCAGTAATGTAAATTGCAGCAACTATAAAACTGGCTCTTCTTGACAATGTGCATGTTTGTTAAATAATTTTGGACCTGTTTGAATGAAAAATTTTGATAAATACTGGCATTTTTATTACCTATTTAGCATCTCTTATTCATGTGACACTCTGCTTGTAAATTACTTTAATTCATATTTGGCTATTAAAATAATTTAATTCATATTCAGCTACCTAGCCCCATCCCAGTAAGAATCAATATGCAACTTGATAATACAATATTGAAACAGGCTATTGCTTCAATCATAGCTACAAGATTTGGAAATTATATACTATTAAGAGATATTTTAGTTCTGATAAAAAACTGTTCAGAAGCCAGGCTAGAAGGATAATTATTTACTGTAAAAGAAACCCCTGGAAATCCTGGGAGAAGTATATGAAGGAAAGACAGAAATATTTTACTTCTTTTTTTACATTAAACAGCTTAAGTGACATTGTGGATTAATATTAGTTTATACATTGTTTAAATGATGGGGTCACACATATACAAAAGATCTATAGCATTCAGAAAGTCAGTTAACATTTGACTGTTAGAACAAAGGTATGGCATAAAGCTGAGCAATAAAAACATAGAAACAATTAACAATTATAACAAATAATTATGAAGTTTCTTTTGCTTTTTACCAATTAAAATCTAAGAAGAAAATGAAGAAGAAAAAAGGAGAAAGAAGAGACCACTTTGTAGAGAATGTTTCTGTGTAATCTTTAATTCATTGTATAAAAAAGGAGATGTTTTAATTCATTATTTCATTGACACTTTATCACATAAGAAAATGTCCCTTTTTTCTCTACGTCTTGCTTAAACATTATGCTGATTTCCCTTTACCTAGAGTATTGGTTGAGTAGGAATAAGTCTCCTGTTCTCCTTGAGGGCCCTGGAATATACTCAGATCACCTTTATTTTATTTAATGAAGACCTGAAAACTGAATGTCACCTTTGTACATATTGTATGCTCTCACTGATAGTGGCTTCATTTGGCATGAATCAAATGATAGCTCAAAAAGTCCTCACTTTTCAGTAACAAGGTAGAGAATTTAAAAATTATCATATATGTTGAATTATTCAATAAATAACCATGAATAATTAATGCCAAGGAGTGCAACAAAAGCCATCACAGCTTGCTTTACTGAGACTTTCCCTCAGAAGATAGGCGTTATTGATTTTCAAAAGAGAGCTTTGGAACTGGGAGCCCAAAAGCAGTAAGTAAAGCAATTTATATAAGAAGTCTACACATGAATAAATAATAACAGAATGAATGAGTCACCTCGCTAAAGAAATACTTCATGGCAGGGGTTGAAATAATGGTATATTTAATATATTTTCAATAACTGGCCTTCCACCTACAACAACTCAAATGTGTTGGGCGGCCATAGAGCCAAAATGAGGCTGCAATTAGAAAGACATTGGAGAGGAAATTTTGCACCAGAGAGAAGGTGAATGCTGACCTGGCATCCATCTGTTGGTTTGAGTTAGATTCCTACAGAGGTGATAATTGGGTCTGCCTCAGGAATATTAATTCTATCTCCTCTTTGTTCACAGTACTTAGGTACTTTCAAAGATAATTCATTTTCCATAGTGGGGTAAGGGTGGGAGAAGAGAAGTATAGTGGATAAAACCCATGAGCTTTAGTTAGGATTTTACAACTGTAATCTATGATATGACGATTATATTGGTTAGATCGGTTACCAAATTTATTAGGCCCACATAGCTTTAAAGGTCCACCTGCCTAGATTAAGAGGTTTAAGATAAATTCATTCTTAATGAAATTCCAAGTTACAACAAGAAAACAAACATCTGAATCAAATATATGCTTGTTTGTACTTTACAATCACATGACTATCCTTTCATTTATTACATTAAGCCTCTAAAACAAAGAAGTCTCTATGCACAAGTTCAAACTAAATTATTATTCTAAATTAGAAAATAGCTAAATAAGCATAATAACAAGCAATTTGTAGCAATTACTACATGTCAGCCAAGGTTATAAGTTATAAGCCAGAATTCAGCATTTTTTTTTCTGTAAAGAGCCACATAATAAATAGTTCAGTCTTTGCAGCCTATAGAGTGTCTGTCACAACTACTTAACTCTGCCTTTGTAGAGTGAAGTAGTCATAAACAGTGCATTAATAAATGAGCATAATTGCGTTATTTATGAACACTAAGTGTATGGACATTAAATTTCATAGAATATTTCATGTATTGCAAAGTACTGTACTTCTTTTTGATTTTTTCAACCTTTAAAAGATGTAAAAGCTATTCTTAGTCCCTCAACTCTACAAAAACAAGTGGTAGGCCAAATTTGGCCCACAAACTAGTTCACCAACCATTTTGGTAATTGTGTGTATACATATACACACATGTATACACACATGTATACATGACATTTAATCATCACAAACCAACAAGGAGATCCTGTTATTATCCCCACTCAGAGGATGAGAAAATTGTGTACAAAAATATTAAGTAACTTGTTTAGTCATACAGCAAATTAGTGAAAGAAAAATATTTGAACTGGCTTTAGAGTTATGTCCTTAAAAAGTCTTCTAGGCTAGCATAGCTCTTCCTTGAAATGTACAGGCAGCACTGTGTTTCTTTCGCTTGTAAAACATGTTGGAAATATTTTACACTCACGTGGTGTTTTCTGGTGCTTGGCATCTGTGAGTAACCAGAGCTAAGACTTAAGTTCCTTTTAAAACCTTGTCTGTACTTTGCCTTCAATTTTGGTCAACCTACCACCACCTGAAATAATGGGCACTCAAAAATATTAATTGAATTAAAAACATTGTGCATGAGAAAGTATGTTGGGTAGAATTGCAGCCCACAAGAAGCTTATGCCAATTTCTTGATTAGCTTTACCCCAAACTAAACAAAACAAAGAATGTAGTTCTACAAGAGGGAAAAACAGACCTACCCAATGTTCTTTCATTTTACCATCTGTGAGAATGCCAGGGACAATTATGCTTCTTCCTTATGTAATCAATTACAGATTTGGATATTTGATTCAACTAATTGTCCATTTTGGACATTATTTGATTAATTTGATTAATTAATCAAATAATTTGATTAATTGATCATCATTTTGGAAGATTACATCTATTTCTTAGTGATATTATCAAACATGAGAAGTACAAATACATTAAGAAAATTAAATCCAGAATGGTTATGCAATCTAAATGGTATTCAAACAAGTCCTTTACTTTTTCACAAGCTGCAAATTGCCTCACTTATAAAACTAATTATCTCTCATCTCACTGGCTGGTACAAGAACATATAGAATTAAATATAAGAGGGGCACCATTCACAGTGATGGCTGTGAGCTTGGCCTTTCACATTTCTAGCGAGACCAGGGCTACTGGGATTCAGAAAGGGAATAGTCAAACTGTTGAACACATCACCTGATGGCATAAAGACAAGTCAGTAAGAGTAGGTGGAAGCCAGGCGTGGTGGCTTATGCCTGTAATCCCATTTTGGGAGGCTGGGGTGGGAGTATTGCTTAAGGCCAGGAGTTTGAAACCAGCCCGGTCAACATAGCAGGATTCCATCTCTACAAAAAATAAACAATATTTTGAAAAATGAGCCAGTCATGGTGGCACATGCCTAGCTGTTCAGGGCGCTGAGGTGGGAGGATTCCTTGAGCCCAGGAGTTCAAGGCTGCAGTGAGCTGTGATTGTGCCACTGCCCTCCAGCTTGAGCAATAAAGCAGACCCTGTCTCAAAATAAGAAAAGAAAGAAAAAAGGTGGAATAATTTATTTTTTATAACATCTCAAAAACTTACTCCAGTATCTTCCAGCCCTTTCTGAGACTGGCCTAATTGTTGTGCTTTTGATATAAGCCCTTTTCTTCCTGTTCTACACTCAGCGCACATGGGGAACAGCTGGTCACCCTCCTCATTACAATTTCCCTCAAATAGATGATGGCAGTAATTAAGTTACATTTCAACTGTGCTCTCCAGACTCAGTAATTCAACATACTAAATTGTAACATAAAATTCTTATGAAATTACCTCATTTCTAATTTTAGCAAACTAAATCATTAGCTACATTAAAACCTGGATTTCCCTCCTTAAAATGGAATATCTGCTTAGTAGAAACTTTCTCTCCTATGTATAGCAGCCCCAGAGGTGACATTGGAATCAAATATTCATTCACTCTTTCAGAAAATACTGTTGACATAAGTATCTTTTGTGTGGCAGGCTGTGTGCTACACGCTGGGGATGTAACAGAGAAAGCACAGAAATAGACCCTGCTGCCATGAAGCTTGCATTTTGGTGGAAGCGAAAGGAAAGAAAAAGTAGATAGCTGCATATTGTTATAGATGCTATTAAGTAAGTAATCAAGAGACCAAGATAAAGAGAGAAGAATGATCCAGAGGAAGAGGGGTACAAAATTTCAGTTCTGCTATTCACTCGCTTGGGTAAGTTATCTAATTTCTCTAAGCTTTTGTTTCCTCATCTGTAAAATTGACAGAATATCATCTACTGCACAGAGTTGGTTTGTGAAATAATTTGAGAAAGTAACTTTAGAAGAACTTGGGGCAGAGCCAAAGACTTTATAAAAACTCATTAATAATAATGATGATGATTACAGTAGCTATCATTTATTATTGCTATTTTCAACAGAGAGACAAAAGTCAGAGAGACCATTTTGGTCACCAAGAATATAATCTGGAGTCACATGCTGGAAAAAAAAAAAAACGGCCGGGCACGGTGGCTCACGCTTGTAATCCCAGCACTTTGGGAGGCCGAGGCGGGCGGATCACGAGGTCAGGAGATCGAGACCACGGTGAAACCCCGTCTCTACTAAAAATACAAAAAATTAGCCGGGTGTGGTGGCGGCGCCTGTAGTCCCAGCTACTCGGAGAGGCTGAGGCAGGAGAACGGCGTGAACCCGGGAGGCGGAGCTTGCAGTGAGCCGAGATGGCGCCACTGCACTCCAGCCTGGTGATAGAGCCAGACTGCGTCTCAAAAAAAAAAAAAAAAAAAAAAAAAAAAAAAAAAAACCTACCATCCAACCCAACAACCCCATTACTGGGTAAATACCCAAAGGAATATAAATCATTCTATCATAAAGACACATGCACACATACATTCATTGCATCATTACTCGCAATAGCAAAGACATGGAATCAACCGAAATGCCCATCAATGGTAGACTGGATAAAGAAAATGTGGCCCATCGAATATAATGCAGCCATAGAAAAGAACAAGATCATGTCTTTTGCAGGAACATAGATGAAGCTGGGGGCCATTATCTTTAGCAAACTAACACAAGAACAGAAAACCAAATACCACATATTCTCACTTATAAGTGGGAGCTAAACGATGAGAACACATGGACATATAGAGGGGAACAACACACACTGGGGCCTATCGGAGGGTGAAGTGTGGGAGGAGGGAAACGATCAGGAAAATTAGCTAATGGGTACTAGGCTTAATAGTTGACGAAATAGTCTGTACAACAAACCCCAGTGGCATGAATTTACCTATATAACAAACTTGAACTTTACCCCTGAACCTCAGTTATAAAAAAGAAAATTCAGAGCTTCATGTATAATTAAAACATGTACACATAAATTATCTCATTGATTTTTGTTATGCATCAGTTAAATTGATAAGTTATTGAACTAGTATATACAGGGTGGGTCAAATGTTTTACAGATAGTTTCCATTCACTTAATATATTACAGAAAGACATTGTCAAGACTCCACTCTGTGCCTGATAAGGCATGCACAATGTCTACCCTTAAGCAATTTACCTTCTGTTGTACATAAAATCACCAATAAATGTGAAATAAAAGAAGAAAACAAGCCTGTATTTAGAAGACATCATTTCTCTTTTCAAAAGTATAAATTTACTATTGGCATAATGTGCAGCTTAATCTGCACGATCTCTAAAAGGACCTCCTAAAGTTAGTATTCTTAATTCTACACTTCTGGCGCAGTAATCCATAAAATGAAACTAATGATAGGCACACAGATCTTTTCCTGGATATTTGCTTAAGGTTGCAGTTATTACCGGTAATAAAACCTTAACAAGATCTCAGGTTTCTACATGACAGTATATGTTGTACTTGCTCTTTTTTTCTTCCTAAATCATTGTCTCAAGGCCATGCTCATTTCTAGAGGAGAATGATCTGAGTTGCAATATAAGTTCCAGTATTCACTGAATGTGTGACTTCAGGAAGACTGTTTCTTCATGTAAAAAAAGAGTTATCAAAACACCCACATTAAAACTCTGTTGTATGAAAGGAAACAAGGCAATAATAAAAGTCATGGCTTTTTACTGATAATGTCCTAATAAACTTTAGCCAATTATTATTCAAAGTTGTTTATTTATATTCTCCAAATATAAAATGTGTGGCAGGAGCAGTGATTCATGCCTGTAATCCCAGCCACTGGGAAGGCTGCGGCAGGAGGATCACTTGAGGCCAGGAGTTTAGACCAGCCTTGGTGAAAGAGTGAGACCTCCATACCCAAAAATAAAACAAAACCAAGCAATAAACAAATATAAAATGTGAATAGCAGTAAAAATGGCACGGATTTTGTACAATTAAAAGCTGATATCCATGGCGAGAGGAGACATTCAACATCATTAATAATAAAAACAAGCAGATGATATCCACAATAATAATTACATCAGTTTCCCAAGTTATTGTCCAGAAAGTACTAGCCTTAAATGTTTTGTTGGGAGCAAAATCAAGGCTGGTCTTTAACTCTGTATTCATAATACACAATAGCGCGTTAAACTCATTGACCAGTGGAATCCTAATACCAAGCAAAACTTGCAGAGATAGAAATATTTCAACAAGTTGGAGTCGTGGAGCTTTGACTAAAACATATTCATAGCTCTGTAGGGAATGTAGCAGTGATAGCGTAAGCATTCCTACATAGATTTATTTAGGGCTGTACATTTTAACAGTGAGCCCATAAAGGCATTAAAGTGCATTAAATATGTATCTTCACATGTTTAGATCCATTATGGTTTATCATCTCCAAATAAAATGTGAAAATTGCCTACTCCCTAAGTATAAATTAATAAGATGAGTGAAAGTGTTTCCAGAATATCAGCAGTATGCACACACTGATTCAGTACAAAAGCTGTTATGGATGTTCTCTTTTCTACAATTGCTTTGAAAACTAATGTAAAACAAAGCAACAAGCCTAATCAACAAAGAAAAATACAGTTATCAGCCTCCCCAGTATCTTTAAGTTTATTATGTGGCAATTATTAAGGCTATAGTAGTGGGTGTTGCTTAAGATAATTAGTGGGGGTATAATTTAAATCATGAGTTCAGAAACAAAAGCAATGCATTATCAAATCTTGCTTTCGTGGTTAGGGTAGCCTGAGGGCAAAATCCAGGGTCACTTTCCTTCTCAAGAGAGAAATTTCTAAGAGGAGAATAATCTCATATACTAGTCAAAAATAAAATGTCAAAACTAGTCCTGTTGTGGCCAGGCATGGTGGCTCACGCCAATCATCCCAGCACTTTGGGAGGCCGAGGCAGGTGGATTACTTGAAGTCAGGAGTTTGAGACCAGTCTAGCCAATCTCGTTTCTACTAAAAACACGAAAAAAATTAGCAGGGTGTTGTGGCACACACCTGTAATCCCAGCTACTTGGGAGGCTGAGGCAGGATAACCGCTTGAACCCAGGAAGTGGAGGTTGCAGTGAGCTGAGATCGCACCACTGCACTTCAACCTGGGTGACAGAATGAGACTCCATCAAAAAATAAAGAAACAAAAAACACTAATACTGTAAAATAAGAGAACAGAAAATAGAAGCTCAGTGTGGGTAATTGTGGAAGTAAAACATAATTCCATATTTGCATTGTTAACTTAAATTTCTTTTTGACCCATTGCTTGTTGCATATCTTCTTGCTTGTACTATGAGTTGACTTAAAAGCACTTCCTGGCACTAAGCAGAAAAGATTACTAAACACAAAGCCATAGCACCAGAAACATCAGATGCAGTCTAAGCTCTTTATGGGCTTTGAAAACTTTCTGGGCCAGGCGCGGTGGCTCACGCCTGTAATCCCAGCACTTTGGGAGGCTGAGGCAGACAGATCACAAGGTCAAGAGATCAAGACCATCCTGGCCAACATGGTGAAACCCTGTCTCTATTAAAAATACAAAAATTAGCCAGGCATGGTGGCAGGTGCCTGTAGTCCCAGCTACTTAGGAGGCTGAGGCAGGAGAATCACTTGAACCCGGGAGGCGGAGGTTGCAGTGAACTGAGAGGGTGCCACTGCACTCCAGCCTGGCAATAGGGCGAGACTCCAACTCAAAAAACAAAACAAAACAAAACAAAAAAAGGAAAACTTTCTGAATTGCAGACACTCATCCTCCTCTCCACTGTCTTTCACACTTGAAGTTTCAGAGTTGATCAATATTTATCTATCAGTGTTCATTTATAAATCCAGATCAAGAGAGAAGTTATAAATAAAAAATACATAAAGTAGAAAAGGAAGATAATATTCAACAGAAGGAAGGAAGTGGGATTTTATTTTACCTCCCAGCCGCTTCAGTAATTGTCAGAAGATAATTAAGTTTGTCCATTTTGAGAATAATTTAGATATAAACCTTGAAAACTAATTTGAGACTTTCATTTCGGGCAATGTAGCACATTAGATATGATAAGAAACTACCTCACTACACAATAGCTAAAGATACTAAATAATACATTTTAAAAAACTCTTTGCTGAAATAAAGAGAAGTCCCCAGAGTCCAAAAATAAAACAGCAACAGAAATCCAGAGGGGTAAGCCAAGGTTTTAATAATCACATCAAGTGCACAAAAGGCATTCCCCAAATCCACATAACATGGAGAGTGAATCGTAAATCTCCCACATAATGCCGAGTCCCCCATGGTACCAAACCTTCTGTGCAACTGTAAACTAGGAAAAAAAATATATTACTCCACAAGGGGACCTGGAGGAAAATCGTCTTAACTCTAACTGTAAGTACAGGAGAAAAACAAAGTGTCCCATGAGGAATCATAATTATTCACTGGCTATCATTTGCCTTCAGACCCAAATTCAAGTCAAGAATTTAGTTTAAAGGATTTAGGTTGATAATACTCCCAGATATCTGGAAGAGGGAACTCACATAATCACTGGAAGCATACACTAATTATCTAAAACTCAAGAACCACCTACCAATAAAGTTCTAATACATATTAGAATTAAAATAATAAAATAAGGTAGATAGAAGGATCCATGAGCAACAGTCCAGAAATAACAGTTATATGCAGAATATATTTAAGGAACAAAAATTATAAATTAAAAATATGAGGGTGGATAAGAGACAATAAAGATGAATCATTCAATGAATCATTCAAATTGAAAAAATATACTTTATGATTCATATACAAACATACAAAAGACATATATCATAAAGACACATACTGAGTGGAAATTCTGAATAGCATAACAGGGAAATTCCATTGACTAGAAGACAGAATTATGGAAAATACCCAGAATAAACCACAAAGAGGCAAAGAGATGGGATATCTGAAAGAAAATCTGAGACAGATAAAACAATGAGAAGTTCTCATTCCAAATTCTAGAAGTTGGAACTCAAGATAATGTAAGAAGCAATAGTGAAAAAAATATGATTGAGAATTTCCTCAAACTGATAAAAGACAACTTCAGATTTTAAGGTAATATTTACTCTTAAGCAAGGTAAATAAAAGGAAATCCACTAGAGAGACAGTTGATTGTTTTTTAAAGACATTGGATTGAAAGTTGCATGGAGCAGTATCATATAGAGGGAAACTATCATTTAAGAATCACAGTGATCTAGTGAGGTTCATAATCACACACACAGAGAGAGAGAGAGAGAGAAAAACTCAGAGTTTACCTCTAACATATCCTTACAAAGGAAGATATTTTAAAATAAACTTTAGGAAAAAGAAACATTATTCCAAGAGAAAGAGCTGAGATTCAAAAATGAGTGAGCAAATAAATTTGTAAACACAACAGAGAGAATATAAATAACCAATGATAGTATTAAATTATAATAGTAAGTGTATTATGGTAATGTTAAAAAAAAGAAAGATAAACTAAAATGCTGGATAACATCTAAGTCAACAGATAAATGATCAGAGTTAACATATCTAAATTCTTTTATTTAAAAAAGAGTAAAGAAATGAATGAAAGTTAGAATTTATAACTAAAAATAAGTATATTACATTATCTACTAATGCAAGAGAAATGCAATGTTTCACTTCCAAGGCACTCCTGGGACGTAAGATGAAGGGAGAGTTGAATAAGGAAAAAGAAAATCAAGCAATTTACCCAAAAGAAAACTATATAAAAGAAAAGATTTCTTAAAACTTATAAGAAAAAATGAAAACCACAACATAAAATTGAAGAGATATATACCTTCAATATATATTGAAATTGGCTAAAATCCAGTATTATTAGGTTGGTGCAAAAACTTAGTATTTCATACTGTTTTAACTTGGTACTTTTGCACCAAGTTATTAAAATAAAGACTAACAGACTATATCAAAGTAAACAAATGCCTATGTTTTTAAATAAAATTATATTCAAATTATAAGAAAATATAAAGAGAAAATTGAAAGCAAAAGGACAGGAGAGAGGAAAGCATTAAAACAAATAGCAAAATCACATAATAGAAAATTTAAAATAAAAATGCTTGACTTGCTATATAGACAAAATAACACAAAAATCATTACTAGAAACAAAGAACATTCTTCTAATTTATATTTCTATTTATTGTGTATACCTAATGCACAAGAAAATTAATAACTCTCTTAGAGATTCAAATAATATAAAGCTAAGGGAGTAAATCTAGTGGATGTATATGGAATATTATAGGAAATAATTTCCAAATATATTTTCAAATAAAGCAAACATGAAATATTTGTTTTAGAATATTTATGGTCAAATAAAATCTGTAAACAAATTTCAAAACAGCAGTATCACACAGATCCCTTTAAATAACAAAAGTATTAAATTAGAAGCCAACAGCAAGAATATAATTAATATTCATACATATAAAGATGTAAAGATTTTTTTTCTATGTGCATATGTGTATACATGGAGAAATTCTAAATGTTTTAGAGTTTATAAACACATTTCTAAATGACTAATGGGTCTAATAAAAATAGTTGACATAAAAGATAAAAATTATAATGATTAAAATAAATAAAATTATTATATTTAAAAGTAGGATGCAGTTAAAGTATCAATAAAAAAGAACATAATACAGGCAAAATTACTCATTAGACAATAAGGGAAGCTGAACGTGCAGGTTTCAACTCGAGAATTTAGAAAAAACAGAGAAAACAGATTAATCCCAAAGAAAAAATCGTAAGAAACATAAATGAGTAGAAATTACTGGAATATACAGTTTAAAAGATATAATAATGATACAAAAACCTTGGTTTATTTGAAAAACAAACCTCTCATGACTGATAAAGAGAAGTGTGAGAAGGCATACATAAAGAACATTAAGAATATGAAAGAATAATGAGCAGGCATTCTATTGCAGCAAAGACTTAAAAGAATATTATGAACAATTGTGTACCAACAAATTTTAAAACTTAGGTTTAAATAGATAAAATCTATATGGCTCAAATAAACATAAAAGCAGAAAATTGTCCCATAAATTTTGCAGAAATTGAATCACTAGTATAAATATGTCTATAAGGAATACGACAGACTACAGGTAGGCTCTACTTACATTCAAAAATTAGATCATTCCTATCATACATAAATACTCCCAGAAAGCAGCAAAAAGAAAAACAGACTCTCTACTTATTTATTGATGCTTTTTTTGACCAAGACACCAAAACCTGACAAAGACAGTATGAGAAATGAAAAGTGTAAGCCAATCTCTCATTAATATTAACAAAAAAATCTTAGACAAATATTAGCAAACTGAACACAGCAATGTAAAATTTATGTATAATAATTATACATTCATACCACACTGGATTTGTCCTAGAAATGTAAGTTTGGTTTAACATTAGAAGGTAGATTTATGATTATGTACTTCATCAACTTAAAGAGATTTTTTAATAGAATTATTTTGATACATAAAAATCCCAAAATGATCTTTGATAAGGGCAACTCACCCTAAATTTCCACCTTCCCTTTACACTGAAATAAAAGCCTAGACTCTCCTGACCCAATGCAGTCTAAACTGCTCTTTCACTAGAAAAGAGAACATTGTAGGTCTTCCAAAACTCACTCTAATTAGTCTGTATTCAAAATAAATAATATATTAAGATCATCGATCACTCTTACCCAAACACCAGTACACGCTGGACACTTGAAGGGGGACCCCTACTCAATGATGTGAGCTTCAATGGTCCAGTATCTTCTATAAAACAAAATGAACTCAAACTTGCACAATTAGGAGAGATGGGGTGTGCTCCAGTTTGAATGAAAACAAAGTTAAGACATGCCATTCCTATTTCTGTGACTTCCGTCACTGCATACACCCAGCCCATAATGCTCTCTCTTAACACCATTTTCACCAATAGTACTAAAACTCTTCCGTCATGACTTAATGTCAGGCAAATTGGGCAAAATCACATAATAGGAATTTAGAGATAGTGGTGATAACTTTAGGCTGGATTGATCAGGAAAAGTTCACACTGGAAATAAATAGACTTTATTTTGTCTTCTATCTTAGTTCATTGTGTATATATATCTTCTACATACGAAGACTGGGAGATATTCAGAGGATAAGGATCATCTTATCTATCTTTGTATCGACTGTAATTACTGCCTTATACAGTGCCTTAATTATATTTTATTTATTTATTTATTTATTTATTTATTTATTTATTTATTTATTTTTGAGACGGAGTCGTGCTCTGTCGCCCAGGCTGGAGTGCAGTGACTCGATCTCGGCTCACTGCAAGCTCCGCCTCCCGGGTTCACGCCATTCTCCTGCCTCAGCCTTCCGAGTAGCTGGGACTACAGGCACCTGCCAACACGCCTGGCTAATTTTTAGTATTTTTAGCAGAGATGGGGTTTCACCGTGTTAGCCAGGATGGTCTAGATCTGCTGACCTTGTGATCCGCCCGTCTCGGCCTCCCAAAGTGCTAGGATTATAGGCGTGAGCCACCGCGCCCGGCCAATTATAATAGTATATATTTTATTTTTGGTCAATAGTATTTGATTTGATGATTAAACCACATTAAAATAGCAATTAGTATTGACTCAGGTAATCTCATATTGCATGGCTGCTTCATAGAAGACAGAAAAATATGGGAGAGCATTTGTGAAAACTGTGATGCTCTGAAGGGAGGAGAGGATGTGATTACGCAGAAGAGAGATGAATCATTTCCTGGAAACCGGAGCCTATGGTGGGCTACCTCTGTTTGGGTGAGGATGCATGTGTCACTGACACTGTTGGTGTCCTTCCCTGTATCTCCTCCGCACTTCTCATTCCCTTGCATGCTCATGTGCAGCTATGACTCTTCCCAAGAGGACTTTAGTCGTGGGAGTTTGCTCGTCTCACAAATGCAGAGCAGGCCCAAGGCCTGAGGTTAATGCCCCTGGGGACTGGCCCTCCATCAATAGCTGATACAAGTTGCTGGACAAATAGTCCAACTCCTTGGTACCTCAGTGAGGATAATTCTGAAATGGATTTTGATCTGTCTCTCAAAATTTCTCCGTGGAATTGAGCCTTGATTGTTCAAAGCAGTAGTTGGCTCAATAATGTGTTTTTATTGGTCCCGTTTCTTCCATACCTCACTGCTCTCCTTCCATAATCTGCTTCCCAGGGTCACCCCCAAGACAAATTACTTGCACTCATCCCCTTATCTCAGTGTCTAATTCTAGGGCAACTAAATCTAAGACTCTTCTTTTTTCCACGATGTTTCTATATAAAAACACACCTTTGAAATCCAGATGGGGTTCCTGGGTAAAAACCATATAATGAGAATTTAAAATTAAGTTTTAAAAGTGTAAGCTCTAAAGGGATTTGCAGACCATTCAGAAAGTCGTCAGCTATGTGCTCTATGCAGTTTTCCCTTGGCTTAGTCTACTCTGGGGAGTCAAAATCTTGACTTACAGTTGATAGGAACTAAATGACTATCTGAGTGTGTGTGTACATGCAGGCACACATGTTTACTCCTGGAGGTCTTTAACTGGAGGCTACTTTAATAACACCCTACTTAAAAATAGACACAAAGTAAAGTGCATTATACTTATTTATATGCAATAAAATCTAAAATGAAGACAATGGATTCCCATAGAATTTTCTAATTCAGCTAATAATAAAGTCACTTTTTGTTCTATATGCATTTGCTCCCTATATAGACCTTACATGTTAGTAAGAGCACAGCCTTCTGAATCTGAAAGACCTGGATTCAAGACATGTTATTTACTCACTGAGTGAGATTCTTCTCATTACTAACCCCCCTGTGTACAGTCACTTCATGTGAAAAATGAGGTGATTGTCAGCCTGAAAGGAGATGATGTACATAATGTATTTACCATGATGGTTGCCTCATAGATTTCATTAGTCATTGATTTCTTCCTCCTCTTTCTCCTGCCCTTTCTGCCCTCCTCCTCCTGTTCCTTTTCTTCTTCTCCTTTTTCTCTACTTCTTCTTTCCCTTGTTGTCTTTTTTCTCTTCCTCCACCTCTTAGTTTTCATTTTAATTTTTTATTATTAAATTTAATTTTTATTATTATACTTATTTTGTTGTTGCATAAGATGAATTCTTATTATTGCTCCCTATAACAAATTTTGCCTCACAAAAAAGTACTTTGCAAAATGCCAGTTGAGCTGAGTGATTCTAGAGACTCCTTACTTTCGAAATCGAGACCTCATTGTCTGTGTCCTTATTGGCATAATCAGGTTCTTCTGGTCTGTGAAGTGGCACTGTAATTCCATTACAGTCTCTCTTCTTTTGGAATGGAAGGAAAAAGGTGTTCATTTTATAGAACATTACTGATAATAATATCACTGAGTTCTCATTGTTAGAGAAAGAGATATGTAATCACTTATGCTTTACTCAATAAACTCTATACATTTTCTAAAACTACTAAGACTTTTTGTTTATTCTATGTATTGTCATTGGTTAGCTGTATAACATCACTTAGGTTACCTACTTCTTGAGCCACAATTTCCTCATCTTAAAAAGTGGGAATAATAACAGCCATTACTGCAGAGGGCTATAAAGAGGACCAAGTGAAAGTGTTTCATACCGTGCCTGGCATACAATAAGCACTCAATAAATGGTAGTTATTATTACATTAAAGTTACCTGGCTATTCAGGATAAGTTTAAATTGTATTCAAATTAGAAGGCCAAGGTGTATTGAACATATCATAGGATAATTTCCAAGTAGAAAGATTAAAATTTAAAAGTAGGTGCGTTGAAAAGCAAACCCTCAGTTCTTCAGACAATTTGCCATGTAGAAAAGCTCAGTCTTTTAGCATTTTGAATAAATGATGTTTTATGGTCCACATGCACCTTAAAGTATAGAGTGTACTACTTTGAGGGGTACACAGTTCTCTGCTTCCAATCTTCCTCTTGATCATGCCCTCCTCACAGGTTTTGAAGTCTCTCTAATCGTAGATTTTCTCTTCAATCCATTAGCAATCTTTCCTATCTCCTAGAAAAATTAGTCCTGAATATACATAGGACATGGAGAGGCAATAGCATTCCTTATGCAATACATTTTTTTGCTTGCCTTTTTCAAAAACTCGTAATTTGCTTAACAAGGCTTTTTGGAAAATGTGTTACCTGCTAACTAAATAAACTCAGAAAAGGAATAAAATTTCTATCAGTATAAAACCCAAAGAAGTAATCTTGGAGTTGGCTTTCTCCCATCATCCACATTCATACCATTAATAAGTGCTATTATATCTACCATTATACTGAATAGAATTCTTTCCATCTTTATTCTGCTGCAATTCACCTTCTCTCACAAGACTACCACAGTAGTTCCTGTTTCCAATCTTGCTCCCTGAAGAGGGCTGTTATTAAAAAGCAAATCACTGTTGGTGGGAATGTAAACTAGTACAACCACTATGGGAAACGGTGTGGAGATTCTTTAAAGAACTAAAAGTGGATCTACCATTTGATCCAGCAATCTCACTCCTGGGTATCTACCCAGAGGAAAAGAAATCATTATACAAAAAAGATACCTGCACACACATTTTTATAGCAGCACAATTTGCAATTGCAAAAATATGGAACTATCCCAAATGCCCGTCAATCAACAAGTGGATAAAGAAAATGTGGTCTATATACACTGTGGAATACCAATCAGCCATAAAAAGGAATGAAATAAAGGCATTCACAGAAACCTCAATGAAATTGGAGACCATTATTCTAAGTGAAGTAACTCAGGAATGGAAAACCAAACATCGTATGTTCTCACTCATAAGTGGGAGCTAAGCTATAAGGAAGCAAAGGTATAAGGTTGATACAATGGACTTTGGGGACTTGTAGAAAAGGGTGGGAGGAGTGTGAGGGATAAAAGACTACACACTGGGTACAGTGTACACTGCTCAGGTGATGAACGCAGCAAAATTTCAGAAATTCATTGCTAAAGAACTTGTTCATGTAACCAAACACATCTTGTTCCCCAAAAACCCATTGAAATAAAAAAAAGAACCTTCTCTGGGCTTCCCCAAATAATTTTTTTTAAAAAAAGCAAATCATATTTGCTTACTTCCCTGCATAAAATCCTTCAATAACCCAAAGATAAAAGTAGAACCAAACATTTGCTATATGATAGTACACTTCACTCTGGCTCTGCTTACATCTCTCCTTATCAGATAATGATCACTCATGATGTTCCTGACACAGTGGTATTTCTGCTCCTTGAACTTACCAAGCCCAGCTCTGTCTTAAAGTCTTTGCACTAGCTCTATGCTCTAGGATGTTCTCTCTGTCTAGACCAGCACACGACTGGCCTGATCCTGCGGGTCTCAGCCAAAATGTGATGTGACTTTCTCGAAGTGAACTCCCATGACCACAATGTCAGCATAGCCCTCTCCATTCTTGTCATTTCCCATCACATCACAGTCATTCCCATTTGATAGATATTTGTCCTGTGTCTACTACTCGCCAGGCAGTGTTTGGGAAATATGGAATCTATTATTGAATTTAACAGAAAAAAGTCCTGCCTTCCTGGAAACTGTATTATAGTAAAACTATGAACAACTATCTGAAATAAACTTTATTTGGTTAATTGTCCCCCTCACCCAGACTGGGGAGACCTAGAAAGCAAGAACTTTGCATGTTGTGTTCATCTTTTTTAGTTCTAAGCAAGTACTATGGGTAATAGTAGAGTGCCAAAAAAAGGACTTAATGAATAATATTGTATCACATTTTTGGCATTCTAGCTTAGCTCTAGTCAGCTTGTAAAGTAAATGTATATAGAGAAATTCTAAATAAGACAAAATAAATATGAAAAAACAGGCATCTCCTTAAATCATTTTCATTCCCTGATTATTAATATAATCACTTACAAAAGCATTAAAAGGAGATTTGAATGTAGCTTCTAAAGAAAATTTATTCTATCAATTAAGAACACTTGAAAGCAAAAGCTAATGAGATGTTGTGAAGTCTGGGGTTCTGAAGGCCACTTAAAGAAAACATTTTTTATGGACTTATAACTCTTCAGAGCCAGCTCTGGCTGGAGCAGCTCTCAGGAGCACTTATTCTTTCCCATAAGTCAGAGAGTGATGCTTCTTTGTCAAGGAGAGTACCAAAAGGGCATTTTTGTTCCCCTGTGAATTTGATGGGAAGTTAACACAGATTGACGACAGGTCATCTGAAAATGCTTGTCTCTTTTATTTTCAATTTTGCTGGGTGAAAATTGCCCATATTTTGTCTGTTTGGCTCATGTTCCATGGCATTTTGAGTACCTGAAAAAAATCTTTGAAGCAGTTATTGTTTAAAAAACTATAATTTCATCATTTTTCAAAATTGTACTATGCAAATATTTTAGAGGTATCAACCACAAATCCACTGTTACAATTCAGTTTACTAGTGTACCCAGCAATAATCAATTATGTCAGGGACTAATTGTAATTATAATTTATGGCTATGGCTAGAATTTTTCTTTTTAAAATAAGATTATGTTTTAAATATTTATATCAAAGAAATATGCCTCGTATGATCTTCACAAAAGTATTTGATCTATAACTCATAAAAGAACTATAAAATGTGTAAGAAACTCCTATTTTATCTTTTTATTGTCATTGTTTTCAGTGTTATCATACTGGAAAAATATTATGGGCAGTATACATATTTTTCCTTAAAGGGAGATTTGAAAATAAATAAATCAAGCAAAAAAGAAACTTCTAGTCATGATTGTTTCTCCCTATTTTTTTAAGTTTTAGAAAGCTGTAATTTGGAAGAAATGCTGGAATCTTATTTTACATATAGTCTCTTCCTGAAGTTCTAGAGTTTTGCTATCAATGAAACTCTGGAAAAAAAAAACCAGGATGTCTAAGATGGTGTAAAAGAAAGTCTCAGCTCTTGTTTCCCACAGAAAAAACAATTTAGCAATGATACATAGACCAAAATACCTTTGTGAGAATTCTAGAATCCAGGTAAGAAGCTGAAGTACCCTAGGCAAGCAAAAAGACAAGAATAAATATATTTAAATGGCTAAGAAGAGCAATTTCACTTTAATTTTGTTTGTTTATTTATTTGTTTGTTTATTTGTTTTGATGGAGTCTCCCTCTGTCGCCCAGGCTGGAGTGCCATCTCAGCTCACTGCAACCTCTGCTTCCTGGGTTCAAGCGATTCTCTTGCCTCAGACTCCTATGTAGCTGGGATTACAGGCACACACCACCATATCCAGCTAATTTTTTTTTTTTTTTTGTATTTTTAAAAGAAATGAGGTTTCACCATGTTGGCCAGGCTGGTCTCAAATTCCCAATCTTCTGTGATCCTCCAGCCTTGGCCTCCCAAAGTGCTAAGATTATAGACGTGAGCCACCATGCCCAGCAAGCAATTTCATTTTAACCAGGTTAGCCCTTCCCTCCAGCCAGCAAATCTCAGTGCTGGTAGAGAATGCCCTGACTGGTAACTTCTCCCTCGAGGGAAAAAAAAGAAAGGTAGCACATACATCCAACATTCCAGCTTTTTTGAGGTCTGCCCAAGGAACTGGTTTCTGTCTTACCTGATTTTGGGGTGCTGACAGAGAGCCAGCATACTTCAGATATCTGGTGGCCACTAGAATAAGGAAGAGCAAGGAGGCATGCTGCTATAGAATTAAAGAATCAAATAACTTGCAGTATTGCACAGACACCAGAGAAAGCAAGAAATTATGAGTTCCTGAAAAAACAAACAAACAAAAAACAAAAAAAAAACAGGAAGCCTCTCTAATTGAGGAATTGCACACACAGGCCCAGAGAAGTCATATCATCCTCCTATAAAACAAAAGGCTTCAGAGGCCCCAAGAATTTTTTAGCCAGGCTGGGTGATGAGGGTCTTCCCTGCACAAAGCTAGTCTGTAAAGACTGGAGAGGTTGCTGTTTCTTTCAAATGTGTGAATTTTAATATAAATTTACAAAACACCTGAAGAAACAGTGAAACATGGTCCAAAGGAGAAAAAAACAAATCTCCAGAAATCAATCCCGAAGAAATGGAGATAAGTGAATACCCTGAGAAATATTTCAAAATAAGCACTATAGAGTATTTTATGAACTCAAGAAAATGATACATGAACAAAATGAGAATATTAACAAAGAGACAGAAAATATTAAAAAAGGACAAAACAAATTTTGGAGCTGAAGAATACAATTACTATATGGAAAAATTCACTACAGGAATTCAACAGAAGACTTAATCAAACAGAAGAAAGAATCAGCTAACTCAAAGGCAAGCAATTGGAAATAATCCAGTCAGAGGAACAAAAAAAGAATAAAAAATTGAAATTCTAAGGGACTTAGAGTACACCATTAAGCAAACCAAATATATATTGTGGGAATCCAAGGAGAGGAAGGAAAAGAGAAGAGGGCAGAAAGCTTATTTAAAGAAATAATGGATTGCCCAGGCCAAGTGGGTCATGCCTGTAATCCCAGCACTTCAGGAGGCAGATTGCTTGAGCCCAGGAGTTTGAAACCAGCCTGGGCAACAATGTCAAAACCCCATCTCTACAAAATGTACAAATATTAGTTTGGCATGGTGACAGGTGCTTATAGTCTGAAAGGTGGAAGCTGCAGTGAGCTGTGATTGCACCACTGCACACCTGCCTGGGCAACAGACTGAGATCCTGTCTCAAAATAAAATAAAATTTAAAAAAGAAAGAAAGAAAAAGGGAAAAGAAATAATAGCTAAAACTTCTTTTATCTGGGGAAGAAAATGAACATCAAGATTCAAGAAGCCCAAAAGCCTTCAGCTACAGTGAATCCAAAAAAATTCACAATGGGATACATTATAATCAAATTGTAAAAAATAAAAGACAAATATAGAACTTTGAAAGAAGCAAGAGAAAAGCAACTCATCACATACAAGGGAACATTCATAAGACTACCAGTGGATTACTCTGTATAAATCTTACAGGCCAGAAGGGAATGGGATAACATACTCAAAGTGCTAAAAGAACAAAACAAACAAACAAACAAAAAACTGCTTACTAATGAAGAATATCATATCCAACAAAACTATCCTTCATAAATGAAATAAAACAAAGACTTCCAGATAAACAAAAGATAAAGGAGTTCATCACCAATAAACCTGCCTTACAAGAAATGCTAAAGGGAGTCCTTCAAGTTGAAACAAAAGGATTTTAAACAGCAACACAAAAGCATATAAAAGTATAAAACTCGCTGATAAAGGTAAACATAAAAACAAATGCAGATTAATATAACACTCTAACAGTGGTGTACAAATCACCTTTAATTATGATATAGAAGCTAAAGGACAAAAGTATAAAAAGTAATTATAATTATAAAATATGATAAATTCACAATATAAAAATATGTAATTCATATATGTAATTGAAGTTAAATTCTTATCAGCTTAACATAAATTGTTATAACCACAACATGCTTTATGTAAGACTCACAGTAACTACAAAGAAAACACGCATAGAAGATGCACAAAATAAAGTCAGAAAGAAATATTAAAAAGAGCATGTCATTATTTCAAAAAATCATTGAAGCACAAAAGAAGAGAGCAAGAGAGAAAAGGAGGAACTAAAGAACTACAAGACAAATAGAAAGCAATTAACAAAATAGTAACCATAACTCCTTCACTATCAATCATTATTTTTAGTGTAAATGCTTTAATCACCCCAATCAAAAGACACGGAATGGCTGAATGAATAATGTTAAAAATCCAAGTATCTGCTTTCTATAGGAAACTCACTTTCTATTTAAGGATACATGCACACTGAAAGTGAAAGAATGAAAAACGATATTCTATGAAAATGGTAACCAAAAGAGAGCATGCTTATATATGACAGAAGAGACTTTAAGTAAAAAACTGAAGGTCAGTATATAGCAATAAAAAGACAAATTCACCAGGAAAATAGAACAATTGTCAATATACATGCACCCAACATCAGAACATACAAATACATGAAGAAAACATTGATAGAACTAAAGGGAGAAGTAGACTGCAACATAATAATAGCAGAAGATTTTTGGTATTCTACTTTTAGTAATAAATAGACTATCCAAACAGGAGGTCAATAAGTAAATAGAGGACTTTAACAATACTGCAGACCAAATGGACCTAGAAGATAAATACAGAACATTATACCCAACAGCAGTAGAATACACATTCTTCTGAAGCCACACAAATATTCTCCAGCATAGACCACACATTAGGTCACAAACCAGTCTTAACAGATTTAAAAACATATTAAATTATAACAGGTAATTGTTCTGACCACACTAAAATGAAACTAGAATTAATAATGGAACTAAAAAGGGAAAATTCGCAAATATGTATAAACTAACAACATATTCTTAAACAACCAATCTGTCAAAGAAGAATTCAAAAGATATATTGGAAAATATATTGGCACAAAGAAAAACAAAACATAACTTATCAAAATGTAGTGATACAACAAACACAGTACTAAGAGGGACTATTATAGGAATAAAGGCCCATTAAAAAAAAAAAAGAAAAAAGATCTCAAATAAACTAGCTTTACACCTCAAAAAACTAGGAAAAAAAGACAAACTAAGCCCAAAGTCAGCAGAAGGAAGATCGTAATTGCCAATAAACGAGACAACCTAGAAGAAATGGGTACATTCCTAGAAATACAGCCTATCAAGATTAAATAAAGAAGTCAAAAGCCTGATCAGGCCAATAACAAAAAAAGAGATCAAATCAGTAATCAAAAAACTCCAGACTAATTCATGGGTGAATACTACCAAACATTTGAAGAAAAATTATGCCAACTTTTTTTTTAACTCTTCAAAAAAAATGATAAAAGAGGGAATACTTTTTTTTTCTGAGACAGGAGTCTTGCTCTGTCACCCAGGCTGGAATGCAGTGGTGGCACCATCTCAGCTCACTACAACCTCTGCCTCTGGGTTCAAGCGATTCTCCTGCCTCAGCCTCCCAAGAAGCTGGGACTACAGGTATGCACCACAATGCCCAGCTAATTTTTGTATTTTCAGTAGAAACGGGTTTTCACCATGTTGGTCAGGCTGGTCTAGAACTCCTGACGTCACGTGATCTACCTGCCGTGGCCTCCCAAAGTGCTAGGATTACAGGTGTGAGTCACAACACATGGTCTGAAGGGAGAAAACTTTCAAACTCATTTTATGAGGCCAGCATCACCCTGATGTCAAAATCAGACAAAGACAACACATGAAAAGGAAACTACAGACCAATATCCTTGATGAACATAGATGCAAAAATTCTCAACAAAATGTTAGCAAAGCAAATCGGACAGGTACATTAAAAATGTCATATACCATGATCAAGTGGGATCTATCCCTGGATTCAAATCAACCAAAATGATACTCCATATTAAGAAAATGAAAGATCAAAATCACATGAGCATCTCAATAACTGCAGAAAAAGCATTTGACAAAATTCAACACCTTTTCACCACAAAAATTCTCAAAAAATTAGGTATAGAAGGAACTTCCCTCAACATAATAAAGGCCATATATCAAAGGCCCACAGCTAATATACTCAGTGGTGAAAAACTGAAAATTTTTCCTTTATTAAGTTCTGAAACAAGGCAAGGATGAGCATTCTCACCACTTCTGGTCAACATAGTACTGGAAGTGCTAGCCAGCACAATAAGATAATAAAAATTATTAAGGGGCACCTAAATCAGAAAGGAAGAAGTAATATTACTTCTTCATATGACATTTCCTTATATGTAGAAAACCCTGAAGACACAAGCAAAAAAAAGTTGGAAAAAATAAAAGAATTTAGAAAAGTTGCAGGATAAAAAAAAATCAACATACAAAAATTAGTTACATTTCTACACACTATCAATTAACTATCTGCAAAGGAAATTAAGAAAATACCATTTACAATACCATCAAGAAGAATAAAATACTTTGGAATAAATTTAACCAAGGAAGTGAAAAGGGCCAGGTGCAGTGGCTCATGCTTTTAATCCCAGCACTTTGGAGGCCAAGGCAGATGGATCACCTGAAATCAGGAGTTCAAGACCAGCCTGGCCAACATGGTGAAACCTGTCTCTACTAAAAAGACAAAAATTAAGTGGGCGAGGTGGTGCATGCCTGTAATCCCAGCTACTTGGGAGACTGAGGCAGAAGAGCTGCTTAAACCCGGAAGGCAGAGGTTGCAGTGAGCCAAGATTGCACTACTGCACTACAGCCTGGGCGACAAAGCGAGACTCCAAAAAAAAAAAAAGAAGAAGTGAAAGACTTGAAGATTAAAAACCACAAAACATTGATGTAAAAAATTAAAGCAAACACAAATAAATGGAAAGATATCATGTATTCATGAACTGAAAAAATAGTATTTTTAAAAATGTCATAGTGCTCAAAGTTATCTACATATTGAATGCAAACTCTATCAAAATCTGACTGGCATTTTTAAATGAATACAAAAATGGTCCTAGTATTCATATGGAAACTCTGAAAAGCCAAAGCAATTTTGAACAAGAAAAATAAAGCTGGAAGCATCATATGTCCTAGTTTCAAAATATATTACAACGCTACAGTAATCAAAACATTATGATACTGGCATAAAGACAAGCATACAGACCAACAGAACAGAATGAAGAGCACAGAAATAAATCCACACATTTATGGTCAATTGATGTCTAACAATGATGCCAAAAATAAACAATTGGAAAAGAATAACATCTTCAAAAAATTGTGCTGGGGAACTGAATAACCACATGCCAAAGCATAAAATTGGACCCCTATCTTACACCATACATAAAAATCAATTCAAAATAGATTAAAAGCTTAAATATAAGACCTAAAAATATAAAGCTTCTAAAAGAAAACATAAAGGAAAAGTTTCTTGACATTGGCTTTCCCAGAGATTTCTTGGATATGACATTAAAAGCACAGACAACAAAGCCAAAAATAAACAAGTAGGATTACATCAAATTAACCAAACAACAGAGTAAAGAGATAAGCTATCAAGTGCGAGAAAATTTCTGCAGGCTATATACCTGATAAGGGGTTAATAGTCAAAATATATAAGGAAGTTCTACAACTCAATAGCAAAAAATAAATAAATAATTTGAATTATTAGTGGAGAAAGGACCTGAACAGATATTTCTGCAAAGAGGACACACTGCTCTACATCACTAATCATAAAAAAGTAAATCAAAATGTTAAAATGGCATCATGAAAGAAAATAGAAAATAACAAGTTTTGGCAACAATGTGGAGAACTTGGAACCCTTGGGCACTGTTGGTAGAAATATAAAATGATGTAGATATTATTGAAAATGGTATCGTTTCCATAAATAATTAAAAATAGGACAACCATATGATTCAGTGGTCTCCCTTCTGAGTATTTGTCCCAAAAAATTGAAATCAGCCTCTCCAAGAGATACTTGCACTATTGTATTTATTGCAGCATTATTCATAACTAAGAGGGGAAAACAACTTAAATGTCCACTGATGGTTGAACAGATTTTTAAAATGTGGTGTATACATATAATGAAATATTATTCAGGCATAAAAAGAAAGTAATCTTATCATATGCTATAACATAGATGAACCTGAAGGATATTATGCTAAGTGAAATAAGTCAGTCACAGAAGGACACATACTGCATGATTCCACTTCTGTGAAGTAAGTAAGTAATCAAACTTATCAAAACAGAAGGTAGAATGACGGTTTCCAGAAGCTGAGGAGAGGCATATGCAAAGTTGCTGTTTAATAGGTATTATGCTCTTAATGCTTCTGTCCCCCACCAAGATTCACATGTTGAAACCTAATCCCCAATATGATAGTATTATGAGGTGGAATCTTTGGGACATGATCAAGTCATGAGGATGGAGCACTCATGGATGATATTAGTACCCCTATAAAGGAGGCCCTAGAAAACTGCCTTGCCCCATTTGCCACATGAGGATGCAGCAAGAAGGAGCTATCTAATGAGGAATGGGTCCTCACTAGCCACCAAAACTGGCAACTTCTTGATCTTGGACTTTCCAGCCTCCAGAACTTTGAGAAATACATTTCTGTGATTTAGAAACTATCCAAACATCATACTCAATGGGCAAAAGCTGGAAGCATTCCCCTTGAAAACCAGCACAAACAAGGATGCCCTCTCTCACCACTTTTATTCAATATAGTATTGGAAGTCCTGGCCAGAACATCAGGCAAGAGAAGAAAGAAAGGGCATCCAAATAGGAACAGAGGAAGTCAAACTATTCCTGTTTGCAGATATGTTTTTCTATCTAGAAAACCCCACATTCTCAGCCCAGAAGCTCCTTAAACTGATGAACAACTTCAGTAAAGTCTCAGGATACAAAATCAACGTACAAAAATCACTAGCATCCCTGTACATTATCAACAGTTAGGCCAAGAGCCAAATCAGGAATGCAATCCTATTCACAATCACTACAAAAAAAAATAACAAAATACACAGGAATACAGCTAACCAGGGAAGTGAAAGATCTCTACAATGAGAACTACAAAACACTGTTCCAAGAAATCAGAGATGACACAAACAAATGGAAAAACATTCCATGCTCATGGATGGAAAGAATCAATATCATTAAAATGGCCACATTGCCAAAAGCAATTTATAAATTCAATGCTATTCCTATCAAACTATGAATGACATTATTCATAGAATTAGAAAAAAACTATTTTAGTATTCATATGGAACCAAAAAAAGTCTGAATAGCCCAGGCAATCCTAGGCAAAAAAAAAGAAAAAAAAGCTAGAAGCATCACACTACCCAACTTCAAACTATACTACAAGACTATAGTAACCAAAATGGCATGATACTGATGCAAAACTAGACACATAGACCAATGGAACAGAATACAGAGCCCACAAATAAGGTCACATGCCTACAACCATTTGATCTTTGACAAAGCTAACAAAAACAAGCAATGGGGAATGGACGGACTCCCTATACAATAAATGGTGCTGAGATAACTGGCTAGCCATATGCAGAACAATGAAACTGGACCCCTTCCTTGTACTATATACAAAAATTAAATCAAGATGGATTAAAAATTGTAAATGTAAAACCCAAAACTACAAAACCCTGGAAGACAACCTAGGCAATATCATTCTGAGCATAGAAATGGGAAAAGATTTCACGACAAAGAGACCAAAAGCAATTTGAACAAAAGCAGAAATTGACAAAGTGGATATAATTAAACTAAAGAGCTTCTGCACAGCAAAAGAAACTATCACCAGAGTGAACAGACAACCTAAAGGATGGGAGAACATTTTTGCAAACTATGCACCTAACAAAGCCTAATATCCAGCATCTATAAGGAAATTAAAGAAATTGCAGGAAAACAAACAATTCCATTAAAAAGTGGGCAAAGGACATGAACAGATACTTTCCAAAAGAAGACATACATGCAGCCAACAAGCATATGAGAAAAAGCTCAACATCACTGATCATTAGAGAAATGCAACTCAAACCACAATGAGATACCATCTCACACCAGTCAGAATGGCAATTATTAGAAAGTCAAAAAAATAGATATTATAAAAATTGTAGAGAAAAGGGATGCTATACAGTGTTGGTGGGAGTGTAAATTCGTACAACCATTGTGGAAAGCAGTGTGGCAATTCCTCAAAGACCTAAAAAAAAAAGAACTATCACTTAACCCAGCAATCCCATTATTGAGTATATACCCAGAGAAATAAAATGTTGTATCATAAAGACACATGCGTTTATTGCAGTGCTATTTGCAATAGCAAAGACATGGAATCAACCTAAATGCCCATCAATGATAGACTGGATAAAGAAAATGTAGTACATATACACCATGGAATACTATGCAGCCATAAAAAGAACAAGATCATATCCTTTACAGGAACATGGATGGAGCTGGAGACCATTATCCTTAGCAAACTAACACAGGAACAGGAAACCAAATACTGCATATTCTCACTTATAAGTGGGAGCTAAATGATAAGAACACATGGACACAAAGAGGGGAACAACACACTGGGGCCTCCTTGAGGATGGAGGGCGGGAGGAGGGGGAGGATCAGGGAAAAATAACTAAAGGGTACAAGGCTTGATTAATACATGGGTTACAAAATAATCTGCAACCCGAGTTTACTTATATAACAAACCTGCACATGTATCCCTGAACTTAAAATAAAAGTTAAAAAAAAAGAAGAAGAAGCTACCAAGTTTATGGATGGAAACAATGGATATAGAGTTTCAGTCTTTCAGGATTAAAATGTTCTGGAGATGATCTATACTACAGGTGCATGTAGTTACTAATACTGATACGGTACACTTAAAAACTTGTTAAGAGGGTAAAAATCTTACTTGGTTGTTACTTTGTAGATTATAAATAACATTCCACTATATTAATGAAGAATAGCTTGAACTCTAACTAGGGAATATATCTAAGATGAAAACATTTGTGTATGTGTGCACATACAGATGTTCTTAGAAGTCAAGAACCTGGCCACTGGTCCCTTCTTTAATGTGAACTTCTGTGTAATTCTAACCAGGCCTTAATCATTCCTGGATCTTGATTTTCCCATCAGTACAACAAAGGAAGCAAATCTACGATAGTACCTCCAAACTGTACTGGTGAGTCTCATCCCCATCATACTTTATGGGTGTTTTGGTGGGGGAAATTTCTGAACTACTTAGACATAGTATGTTCAGACATTCGGTTCTGGTCAGAGGGCAAAGAAAAACAGGTCTTGCACCTGCTACAATCTTTCAGGAAAGCAAATTCACAATATGGAAAACGATATATTGTGAATTTGCTTTTCTATAACCCTTGACACAAATATCTATACCCCTTGACACAGTCTGTAATCTCATTCCTAGAATTCTATTCTGAGAGAACTAGTGATGTTAAAGCTTATTACCACCTTATTTGTGGTAACAAATAACTGGAAACACATTTCTTGAAATTACCAGAAGGGAACTCATTCTAATACAAACTATCTATTCAATAAGATCCTATTCAAAATATTGGCAAAATTAAGGAGGGAATGTAATCAGCTAAATCTACAATAGATATGGAAAATTAGACATCCAATAACAGCCATAAAGATTCCAAGACCGTGATATAATGGAGAACTTGCCTTACCAGATGTTAAAGAAAGATATGAACATTAAAACATGTTGACTTTGGCAAAAAAAAAAAAAAAAGAAGAAGAAGAAAAACTGGACAATGAAAGATGAGATATTCTAAAAATACAATTGAACACCCGTGGGGACAGCTCATAGGATAAAAGTGGCACTTAAATGTTATAGATGAGCCTTTTAATAAATGGTGTGGAGAAAACTGGACAACAATTAGGATTAAGGTTCTATAATTTTATCTTTGCACATCTAATAAATTTTAGAAAAAGTTAAATAAAATACTATTATTAGAAGAAACATGCCATTGAAAGTAATTTCTGGGTCAAATGGTATTTCTAGTTCTAGATCCCTGAGGAATCACAACACTGTCTTCCACAATGGTTGAACTAGTTTAGAGTCCCACCAACAGTGTAAAAGTGTTCCTATTTCTCCACATCCTCTCCAGCACCTGTTGTTTCCTGACTTTTTAATGATCACCATTCTAACTGGTGTGAGATGGTATCTCATTGTGGTTTTGATTTGCATTTCTCTGACGGCCAGTGATGATGAGCATTTTTCATGTGTCTGTTGGCTGCATAAATATCTTCTTTTGAGAAGTGTCTGTTCATATCCTTCACCTACTTGTTGATGGGATTGTTTGTTTTTTTTTCTTGTAAATTTGTTTGAGTTCTTTGTAGATTCTGGATATTAGCCCTTTGTCAGATCAGTAGTTTGCAAAAATTTTCTCCCATTCTGTAGGTTGCCTGTTCACTCTGATGGTAGTTTCTTTTGCTGTGCAGAAGCTCTTTAGTTTAATTAGATCCCATTTGTCAATTTTGGCTTTTGTTGCCATTGCTTTTGGTGTTTTAGACATGAAGTCCTTGCCCATGCCTATGTCTTGAATGGTATTGCCTAAGTTTTCTTCTAGGGTTTTTATGGTTTTAGGTCTAACATTTAAGTCTTTAATCCATCTTGAATTAATTTTTGTATAAGGTGTAAGGAAGGGATCCAGTTTCAGCTTTCTACATATGGCTAGCCAGTTTTCCCAGCACCATTTGTTAAATAGGGAATCCCTTCCCCATTTCTTGTTTTTTGTCAGGTTTGTCAAAGATCAGATAGTTGTAGATGTGTGGTATTATTTCTGAGGGCTCTGTTCTGTTCCATTGGTCTATATCTCTGTTTTGGTACCAGTACCATGCTGTTTTGGTTACTGTAGTCTTGTAGTATAGTTTGAAGTACTGGGTATGTACCCAAAGGATTATAAATCATGCTGCTATAAAGACACATGCACACGTACGTTTATTGTGGCACTATTCACAATAGCAAAGACTTGGAACCAACACAAATGACCAACAATGATAGACTGGATTAAGAAAATGTGGCACATATACACCATGGAATACTATGCAGCCATAAAAAAGGATGAGTTCATGTCCTTTGTAGGGACATGGAAGAAGCTGGAAACCATCATTCTCAGCAAACTATAGCAAGGACAAAAAACCAAAACCACATGTTCTCACTCATAGGTGGGAATTGAACAACGAGAACACTTCGACACAGGAAGGGGAACACCACACATTGGGGCCTGTCATGGGGTGGGGGGAGGGGGAAGGGATAGCATTAGGAGATATACCTAATGTAAATGACGAGTTAATGGGTGCAGCACACCAGCATGGCACATGTATACATATGTAACAAACCTGCATGTTGTGCACATGTACCCTAGAACTTAAAGTATAATAAATATACATATAAAAAAAGAAAGTAATTTCTGAGTAGGAATGACATTCCAAACCAAACACAATGCCTAGAAGCCATAAAAAAAAAAAAAACTGAAAATTTTACTAACTTTTAAAAATGTAAAATAAGTAAATAAATAAATACCACTGGCCTATTAGAAATAAAAAATTTCTTTCTAAAATATATAATAGTTATAATTTGCATAAAATATGGATAAGTAACAAAAACTTAGAAAAAATTTTAAGTAATAATCAGAAAACTCTAGACAATAAGAGTGAAGAGTTCATTGAGCAAAATAATAAAAGGCATATATAGAAAATCTAATATTTTCTGAAGGTAGTTTGTTTCGTAGATTCAACTTTGAAAACCATATAAGTGGTTCAAAATTGTGAAACAAAATTAAATTGTAATGAATATAAATGCAAGCTTTAAAAATCAAAGTAAAATTAAACAAAATTGTTTTGATTTGTTTAATTGTTAAGATGGTGTTTTGATTATCTAGAGATGAGTTATTGTGCCTTTATCAGAAACAGAAACTGTATTCCCCCAAAGGTAGAGCTAGGATTCAAACCTAAATGAGAGGAGTAAGTCACAGCCTTTTGCTTTCAACAGCAAAGTTGTCATTGGTTGTCTGTACAGATCAAGGATTCACAAGTCATCCTTTGCAAACAGAAGCCTGGAGCCTCCAATTCACAGAAAACCTCTGACCTCCTTACCCCCTGCTTCTACAGGGCCACCCTGGTTCAAAGCGCCAAGCTGCTGACAGCAACATAAGTTGCCACTGGGAGTCCTGTGTCCCCAGAGGAACCAGAGGAGTTGAGTAGCATCTAATTATTCAGTATAGATATGGACGCTAACTTGGACTTAGTACATGTATTACATGGACTCCCTCCAAATCACCATGCCAAGCCTCTGGAGGACAGAAGAATATAAATTGTTTAACTCCTCTTAATCTCAGTTTCCATCTATGTATACAGGAAATAAAAATAATTTGTACTCTGGTTCAAATCCTGATGCTCCCACATACCAGCTGTGTGTCCTTGGGCAAGTCACTTCCCTCTCTCAGCTGCATCTCTTTCTCTCAAGATTCTGAGCAGCAAGTGAGAAGATATTAGCTACAAAAACACTTGCAAAATGAGACACCAAGAGTTATGTGAAGGTTAGTGATTATAATTCATCAAAACTATTTTTATTTTATTTGGACCATTTATCTAAGCCCATTATGATATCTTGACAGTACAACTTAGTTAAAGAACATTGCTCTGGAGTCAGATGCCTGAGTCCAAACAGCAGCTCTGCTATTTACTAGCAGTATGATTTTTCACAAGTTACTTAACTTGTATATGCCTCAGTTTTCTAATTTGTAAAACTGGGATAACAACAGTATCTATGTCATAGGGTTACTGTGAGGATGAAATGAGTTAATGCACACTTTAAATATTTATTTTATTTTTTAATTGGCAAATAATAATTTTACATATGCATGGGGCTCATAATAATGTTTAGAGACATATGATGTCTAGTGATCAGATCAGGGTAAGTAGCATATCCATCCTCTCAAATATTTATCATTTCTTTGTTTTGGAAACATTCAATATCCTCCTCCTAGCTATTTGCAATTATATAATATATTATTGTTAATTAAGTTTTAAAAAAAAACAGTGCTTGGTACATAGTAAGCACTATGTACTCTTTAGAAGTAAAAAAAACTTTTTAGAATTAAAGAACTTTTTAGAATTAAAAAAAGTACATGTCCTAGTTGGGATCAGAGATATGCAGTCAAACTACCAAAGACAAAATAGATCTAGTTATTTTAATCCATCGTATGGATGGGAAGTAAGATCAGATATAGAGTACAAAAGAAATTATGTCAGTGGTGTCAGAAGCAAGAATTCAAGAGATACAAATATGAAATGAAAGAAGTTAACTAAAATCTCCATAATCTTGAATTTTAATTGAAAATATCAATGTAAATGTATAACACATTTCTCTTTTCAAGATAAAGAAAGAAAGAAGAAAAAGAAAGAAAGAAAGAGAAAGAGAAAGAAAGAAAGGAAGGAAGGAAGAGAGAGAGAAAGGAAGGGAGGAAGGAAGGAAAAAGGAGAGGAGAGGGGAGGGGAAAATAGGGAGGGAAAAGGGGAGGAAAAAAGGGAGGGAGGGAGGGGAAGGGGGAGGGAGAGGAAGGAAAGGAAAGGAAAGGAAAAAGGAAAGGGAAAAGAGGAAAGGAAAAAGTATGCCTTACTTTTTTCCACCAAAAAAGCCTAAAAACAGTGACCAACAGTAGCAATAGTGACCCTCAGCACAAAAACCGATTTCTACATATCTTTAAAAGAAATGATTACAACTCTTGGCTAGGAAATGTACAAGATTACTGTAAAACACCTTATGGTACCAGAAGATGAATACTAGTATTCAGGAATTAAATAGGAGAGTTTTCTGTCTAGTTCACGTTCTCCAGAAATCTCTGAGATGAGATGTGCATGCAGGAATATGCCAAGCAGCAGGGCATAACTTAGTGCATTCGTGTGCAATAGCTGCTATAACAAATACCACAAACTGTGTGACATCACAGAAATTTATTTATTTCCTCACAGAAATTTATTTATTTCCCCACGGCACTGGAGGATAAAAGCCCAAGATCAAGGTGTTGGTGCGGTGGCTTCTTCTGAGGTCTGTGGGGAAGGATCCTCCAGGCTTCTTTTCTTGGCATATAGATGGTCATCTTCTCCTTATGTTGCCTCCACATCATCTCCCCTCTCTGTATATATTTGTGTCCAAATTTCCCTTTATTATAAGGACATCAGTTATATTCAATTAGGCCCTACCCTAATGACCTTGTTTTGCTTAATTACATCTCTAAAGATCCTATGTCCAAATTAGTTCACTTTCCAAGAGACTCAGGGTTAGGGCTGAAACATATGAATTTTGAGAGGACACAATTTAACTCATAATACGTAGAGCTGCTTTCATGATTTTTCTTCCCCTGGGTCTCACGAAAGCCTAGAAGACTTATGCAGCAATATATAGCTTGTATGAGTATTCTCAAGTGCAGAATACACTGCCTGCAAACTTAAAGAAAAACTTAAACCCAGTACTTCTCTCTTTTTCAATGGAAGTAGGATAAAACTACAATAATTTGTCCATAGCTTTGGAGACTATGTTCTGATATAACTTAGACCACTGCACCTCTAAATATTCAACAATGTGACAGACTCTGAATCTTTATTTCCTTACCATTGGAGCCCATATATTTACCAAGACATTCAGAGGGCTTATCATGTTTTGTCCACGGGGTCCGATAGTGAAGCAATATTGTGTTCTGCATGTTGTCCACCTTGCCATGACCTCCTTGGAGAGTGAATTAATGTTATCTTTATGGCAGAGTGAATTAATTTGACTCTGAGGCAAGACTGAACGTATACTGCTGTAGATCCCAGGTGAATGCAAACTGCTTCTGACTCTCCTTCCGGTTAGGTAACGAAAAGATCACACTAGCTAGATCAGTAGCCACTTACAAGGTACATGAAGCTTTGTTCATCTGTTCTAGTCAGGAAAGCGCATCCAACACAGTGATGAACATAGGGCCAATACTTGATTAAATTTACAATGATTTATTGACATTCCCCATAATCTGTTTTAGTAGAGGCTAGACTGGTGAATTAAATGGGGATGAACTATGACCCCTGTATCTTTTAAGACTTTGTGGTACTAATATCTGCCATTAGCCTGGGATGTAAAGATGATCATCTTAGCGGGGTGGAGGGAAGTGTTTCAGGGGCTTTTTATGGCCTTTATTATTAAAATAGCTCTTATTCCACAGGTCAAGCTTTTGTTCCACATGAGGATGTGTCCATCTGTTAATTATATTATTTAAAATTATACATCTGTGAATATAACCAATGGATTAGCAGCCACACTGTGAGGTAGACTGGGACAATACTCTATTTGTTAACAGAACTTCATACACTCCTACTCCATGTACAAGCGATGTTGGTACTTTACGTACCCAGGAATCAATGTCAATTCAGATCATCCAGGAAACAAACCAAAGGACTTAGGTATTTCCTCTTGCCTTATGTATGGTCAGATGAATGGCTCTAATTCTCTTCAGAGAGAGAATGAAGGAATCGCAGCTGTAACATCTGCCAAAGAGTTGCAGAGTCTTTCCCATTAGAACTAGACTCTCGTATAATCCAAAGATTGTGGCTCTGAAAAACAGCTCAGATGTTGAATCTGGGCAAAGGATTATGACCATCTATTGGGTAACAGAATTCAGCTTCTGCTTATTTATTATTTCCCAAAGTTTCAGTGTAAAAATATTCAAATATTCAAAAAAGCTGAAAGAATTTTATAGTGACCAAATGTATATTCACCATCTAGATTCAAATTTACAGTGGACATGTGCACTACTAGTTCCCTAGGGCTGCTGTAACAAAAGTCCACAATCTGGGCAGTGTAAAACAGCAGAAATTTATCTCTCTTATTTCTGGGGGCTAAAAGTTCAGAATCCAGGTGTTGGCAGGGTTGGTTCCTTCTGAAATTCTGAGGAAGAATTTGTTGCATGCCTTTTTCCCAGCTTATGCTGGCTGCTGGATACCCTTGGCATTTCCTGGTTTATAGACACATCACCCCAATTTCTACCTCGTCCTCACATGGCATTCCTCCCTGTGATCTGTGTTTACCTTTCCCTCTTCAAGGATGCCAACCATTGGATTTGGGGCCACACTAATCCATTGTAACATCATTTTAACTTGATTACATCTGCAAAGATGTTGTTTTCAAAAAAGATCACATTCACAGTTTCCAGGTAGGCATGAATTTGGGGGGAACACTATTCACTTCAGTACAGTACAATATGCATATTCAACCATTAATTCAAATATTAACATCTTACTGTATTTGTTTATAAAATAACTATCCATGTATTCATCTCTGTATCCATACATTAATCCACTTTACTGTTAGTGCCTTTTAAAATAAAGATGTCAGTATACTTCTCCCTATATACTTCAACACACATATCATTAACAGGAGTTCATGTGCTTATACTTATATTTTCTTCCGCTGAAAAATATACACATGATTAAATTCACAAATTTCATAGTATAGATTGATACAGACATAAATATAACCCAAATCCCTATTAACATAAAGGGCATTACTAATTACTATCACCCCAGAAGGTTTATTCATGCACCTTTATGTATCTTTTTTGTACACAAATGCTTATAATGCCTATATTCATAATAGTCAAATATTGGAAACCATCCAATCTACATCAGTGGGTGAATAGATAAATTGTGGTACAAAGATACAATGAACACTACTCAGCAATAAAAAGAAAAAAACTGGCTGGGCATGGTGGCTCACACCTGTAATCCCAGCACTTTGAAAGGCCAAAGCGGGTGGATCACTTAAGGTCAGGAGTTTGAGACCAGCCTGGCCAACTTGGTGAAACTCTCTCTCTACTAAAAATACAAAATTAGCCAGGGCTGGTGGCACAAGTCAGTCACTGTCTCTATATCCCAGTGGCAACTACTATACTGTTTTTTCTACCATTAATTTGTTCTGCCTGTTTGAGAATTTCATACAAATGTATCCTTATTTTAAACAGTTTATCACGTAGAAAGTAAAGAGTTTGAACTATTTATCTCTTAATTCTATCAATTCTTGCTTCCTGTATTATGAAGCTCTGTTACTAGGTACATACACATTTATGATTGTTATGTCTTTCTGACAAATTGATCTTTCTAACTTTATGAAATGCCTTTCTTTATTACCGGTGATGTTCTTTGTCTTGAATCAATTTTGTCTGATATTACTATAGTCACTCCAGCTTTCTTAAACTACGTACATAGCATATCTTTCTTTATCCATTACTTTTAATATATGTGTCTTTGTAGCTAAATTATTTATTTTATAGACAATGTAAAATTGGGTTTTGCTTTTTTTATCCATTCAGAAAATATTTACTTTTATTTGAAATGTTTTGTCCATTAACATTTATTGTAATTATCAATGTGATTGGACTTAGGTGTACATTTTTATTATTTTTGTTTTTTTCTTCATCTCCTGTTTTCTTTTGTTTTGATTAGTGTTGTGGTTATCCTCTTCTCCCTTTTCTAACTTTTTAAACATTTATATAATTATTTTTAGAATTCCATTTAATTTATTTATTGGGATTTTAGATATATCCTATTATATTTTAAGTGGTTGATCTAGTTATTGCCATATATATCTTTATCTTTTCTACAGATGTCTTATAATTAATACTATACTAATTCATGTAAAATACATTTTATGTATAGTTCATGAATATTTCATGAATATATAAAATATTTTACTTCATGTAAAATATAGAAAATTTCTAATCATATGAATGCATTTAGCCCCATCTTTTATGCTCTAGTTCACATATGCATTATATCTATACATTTACAAAGCCCACAAGAAAGTACTATAATTTTTGTTTTAAGTGGTCATATATACTTTTTTTAACTAGAAGAAAAAAGGTCTATTTATTGAGTCAGGTATTTACTTTTTCTGATGCTCTTCATTATTTCCTATAGATATGAGTTTCATCTGATATGATTTCCTTTGAGTATGAGAAACTTCCTTTAACATTTCTTAGAATGCAAGTCTGCTGACAAAAAAATTCTCTTAGTTTTATCTAAAAATGTCTTTATTTCACGTTTATTCTTGAAGGAGACTTGCACTGGATAAAAAGCAATGGCTTTTTTTTTTTTACTTTCAACACTTGAAAATGTAGTTTCACAGTCTTTTGACCTCCATGGTTTCTGATGAATTATTCAAATTATTCTTTCCCTTTATAAAATATTTTATTTTTGTGTAGCTGCTTCAAGGCTTTTCACTTTGTCTTTAATTTGTAGCCGTTTGATTTGCCTAAATGTGGTTTCCTCCACAACTTACTCACTTGAAGTACACTGAGCTTCCCGGATCTGTATTTGTATTTATCTCTAAATTTGCAAAACTTTCAGCCATACTTTTTTTTGACGAAGTGATTTAACTATCATTGCAAATTTTTATTTAAATTAATGATAAATCTCAGAATTTGATTGCCTGTATTCTGCCCTAAGGGTTTCTGAAGTATTGGTCAAATGGTTTGGGTACCACATCTGCATCTGAATCACCAGTAGTGCTGATCGTTATTTTTTGTTGTATTCAAATTGTTGTTTGTTTGATTAGGTATTGGAGGAAACATTATTAGGACATTTGGCTTTCCGTTTGCATTTTATTTGAAAATCTCCCTCTGAGATACATTTCATGAAAAAAAAAGGCCAAAACTATCTGAAAGGTACATGCATCTATGTAAAAACAAAAATGATATATTTATAAGTATACGTTTGTACAGAGTACAGTTACCATTTATAATATGTACACATTTTTCCTCTATAAACATATAGTAGAACCTGTATAGTTATTGACTGAGGAGAGATAGTAGGTCCAGAGTGTAGAAGTAATTAGCTTTTCATTTGTAGCTTTTTATACTACCTATTTATTTATTATCATGTGAAGTGTTATTTTCGTAATAAAAGTAATTAAAAACAAAGAAGCCCCTTACACACACACACACACACACACACACACACAAGCAAGGATACCAGGTGCTCTATTCTGCTAAACAGACTCTGACTACATGCATTTTTCTAAGCCCATGAGCTGGGAAATGTAAGAAGGTGGAT
Organism: Homo sapiens; assembly: GCF_000001405.40. Classification (NCBI taxonomy): domain Eukaryota; kingdom Metazoa; phylum Chordata; class Mammalia; order Primates; family Hominidae; genus Homo; species Homo sapiens. Next base: position 59,435,260 of record NC_000016.10, on the reverse strand, counting down.
GAATACCAACAGATTCAGAAAGCTGAAACAATGCTTCTCATCTGGAAAATAAGGTTTGAAGGGCTGACAAAACGAGAAATCTTGCTGCTTCTTTTAGCAAGCATCAAGATACTGAGCAATTATGAAGTTCCCGTGTATACTTCCAAAGCATCTTTGATTCCCATCAAAGGATTACTGATGGACTCTCACTCTTCTCAAGTAAAATACTCTACAAGATAGAAATCTTAGCTTGGCACGGTGGCTCGCACCTGTAATCCCAGCACTTTGAGAGGCCAAGGCGAGGGAATCACTTGAGGTCAGGAGTGCAAGATCAGCCTAGCCAACATGGCAAAACCCCATCTCTACTAACAATACAAAAATTAGCCTGGTATGGTGGCTTATGACTGTAATCCCAGCTACTCAGGAGGCTGAGGTGGTAGAATTGCTGGAACCTGGGAGGCGGAGGTTGCAGTGAGCCGAGATCACACCACTGCACTCCAGCCTGGGCGACAGAGCAAGACTCTGTTTCAAAAACAAAAATATAAAACTAGCAAACAAAAAACAAGATACAAATCTTTGCTCCCCATATCTGACTTGCTGTGAGATATCTGTGATATGAAAGAACCAAAATGCATTATGGTTCCTCAAAGCACAGGCAAGTGTTCAAACCAAACCAAACAAAATTCACTGGAATTTGAGGTTTCCTGAGATCAAAAGCTCCAGGCCTCTTGAAGAAACCCTGTCTAAAACTTCTACAGGCTTGAAATATCTTTTTTTTTTTTCAGTTTTGAATAGACACAGGTCTGGATTCAAATCCCAACTGTATTACCTACAAGTATTGTTCTATGACAAATTATATCACTTTTCTATATCTTGGTTTCGTTATCTATTAAAAAGCAGAAATATAGTAATCACTTGACATATTTGCAGTGAGAATAAAAATAGAAAGCTGGCATAATTACTGTCGTAGAATAAACTAACAATAAAAGTCAATAGTTATCATGTTAATATTAATTTTAGAAATCTTTTTCCAAAGGAAAAATACCTAAGCCTCAGATGGATAGACGTGTCACATTTTCTTTCAGATCTGGAATACGGCTGGTCAGTTGGTTTCATTTTGAGTTTGTCAACTCTCCTACTTCATTCATAGTTGAATGAAATGTATCAGAGGACTGGTGGCTTGTATATCAGGTGCACCCATTGGAAAAGGCCCGAGTCTTGTTGATCATTATTGCTAAATCTGATATTCAGTGCTTCAGCAGTTATCATTGAGGCCATTATGCTTACTTTTAGTTTAGTCAACTAATGTCTTCTAGCTTTGTGAACCACACATCCTGGACAGGCCAAATTGCAGTATTTGGTTCCACTGTCTATATGAGTAAACTCCTACTTGCCAAGTCATAAAACAAAAATAGAGACATTGTACCAATAGCCTAATATTATGGAGAAAGGCAATTATAATTTATTGAATACTAAGTCAATTGTTGAATATAATTTATTGTGCCAGTACATTTTACATGTGTCATCTCATTTAATCTTTGTAACATTGCTTTAAGGCACAAATTAGAGTCTATATTGTAAAGGGGAGGCAACCAATGTTGAGAATGTATACGTTTACTGCCACACAGATGGTTAGTGTCAGGACTGAGATTCAAACCCAATTTTACATGGTGGCCTTATTTTTTATTCTTTCTGCATGTGTGCATAGGAGGATATTAACTTGTGAAATAAAAAGATGCACACAATATTCAGTTTACTTCCTTGGGTTTGGCAAGCACTTGAGTCGTCATAGTCCCAGTTGTTTCATGTCACTTTCTGTGGATTTCTGTGTCAATCAATAAGATGTCTTTGCATACTGCAAAATTGGAGGCCTTTAATGATTAGCTTTGGTATTACCGATGCTCAAAATATAATAATAGCAAAAATCACATTAATTAGACCATTTGCAAAAGAATGTGATTATCCAGATCTTCTAGAAATGTAATTGTGGAAGCAGATGCCACATAGATAATGATAAACAGTGCCTTTGCTTACCAGCAATTATTTTTTTCTCCCTGAAGCATGCTGATTAGCCAAAGACACTCAGAGTCTGGCTCCAACAGAGAGGGCTGGGTCTCCAGCCAAGTTTCATGGCAACTCTGTAAAAAACAATATGTCCCAGAGACCAGATTCCTAGCCTGCAGGCATCATTATATCACATCTCCCAGCCCTGTGCACTGGCGACTCCTCACAGTCTCAGAGCTTGGAAGAAACTCAGTTGGAATCGAAAAGAAATTCTGGCTTTGTTAAACTACTACTTCAAATAAGTGAGCAAGCCTGTATGAGAACTGTATTGCTAGGTAGCCAAGGAATTTCCACGACTCTATCACAATTGGTAAGTACTAGAAAAGAATGAACAAAGTTGTCCTTTCAAAGTTCAGCATAGGCAGCTCACAGTCAGAACTCAGTGTTCCTATAGATAACCTTTTGCAAGTTACTTACCCTTTCTCACTTAGATGTCATCTTTGGAAAAACGACGTAACAGTAGCCAGTGAATGCAGTTGCTTTGAAAGTTTATTATTAATATGTGAGCAAGTGTTGGGCTACATATACAGACATGTTCAAATTGAGTTAGTCTGGGTCATTTTTGAGTAAAATAATTTTTTAATAGGGATGATAGATTCCCTCTTTAAATCACTTCCCAGTTTCTGGAAGATGTAGAAACTCAATTAGACCTCCAAGGCTTTGACTAATTTTGAAAGTTCCACATTTACACCACCATGCCTTGACTGTTTCTTCTTCCTGCCTTTTCCCATATGTCTGTTGAATTTCATTCACCCATATGGCACACATTTATACAGTGCTTCACATGTTTCAGCTACTGTGGTAGGCATTACTTTCATGCTTTCTCTTAAGGTCACCTATCTGAAATGCAGACAGCCATGCTGCATTCTGGGACTCAGTGAATGTCTTCAGAAATATGCCCTATTATTATACGAGGTGCCTTCTACACTGATGAGGTCATTTAACTAAAAATGTTTCCTTACAGAACCATGTTTTAAATTTTACAGAAACAAAGACAAAGATTCTAAATCATTTGCTTAAACTGCCATACCCAACTGGGCCAAAATTAGGACAAAATTCCACTTTTCCTAACTCTAATTTTTGATGTTCATTGAATGTATGAGAAGCACAAGAAATTCATTTACTATTTTGTCCATGTGAAATTGTGTGCTTGTGAAGAGGTTAATGGGGACTGTCTGTGTCACCATTTGTCTTCTTTTACTCTGTAACAATCAACTAGAAAACAGTAACCTTCTTAAAGCACTTACACCATCCTCTAAAAGAAATGAATCAAAAGATTGAATTTCCCCAATCTTTTCATATTGTATCAAGCCATCACAAATGATACGTGTAAATAGAATTCCAATATTAGAGCTCCACAATGTCTCCTCATCTGAACATTCTTCTAAAGCAGATTTCCCTTAATATGAGATTTAAGTCTCCCACAGACATTTTACTTACAGCCAAAACGTTAAACTCTGATCAGATTGTACCATTTGTCAGTTGTTTCCAAGAGGCTGATCACATTTTAAAGGGGATGTCTGTGTACTGTTAGGGATTAAAATTAAGATCTGATTTAATAAGCATAAGTTCATTTGCCAGTCACCTCCAGTTCTTCTGTGTCCATCCCTAAATCCAACTTCTGAAGTCCAGACCCACATTTCAGAAGACTGATAGATAGCACACCCAAGATGTTCCATTGTACAAAACTGAAAGAGTCATCTTTTCTTAAAAAATTCAGAAATTCCTCCTCACTTTTTCCTCCAACCATGGAAAATTCCCAGTGGTTCAAGTTCAAAATCATAATGTTCTCTTTGCATGTAGGTGTCAATCTATCTTCAAACCTGATCATTTTTACTTTTGTAGTCTTTTCTCACTTGATTCCCCTTGGGTCCTCTATAATACTTCTTATCAAGTTTAAAGTGCTGTGGTCTAGTTTGGCAAAGCGCTTTTTATATGGAGTCTCATCCTTCTGTTTCTCTTTTTTCTAATCCAATTTATATATTAAAGAAGATTAATCTTTTTAAAGTACTGCTTTGATCCTTTCTCTGTCAAAAACACTTAGTGTCTTCCAGGTGTCTATGAAATAAATTCCACAGGCCAAGGGAACCACTAAAGCTGACAATAATCAGTCACCAAATTACATTTTCAATCTTTTTATGTCTTATGGGCTGATTCCCAAAAATTTGTATGTTGAAGTCTCACCTCCAGCCCCTCAGAATGTAACCATGTTTGCAGGTAAGGTCATACAGAAGTGATCCATGAAAATGAGGCTGCTAGAAGGGGAAGAGGCCACCGGGATGTTGACCACATGAACAGGCAGCAAGAGGATGGCAATCTGCAAGCCAAGGAGAGAGGCCTCAGGAAAACCCAACCCTGACAGCACTTTGATTTGGGGGTTTTGTTTAATCTTTTTTTAAAGTTCTGGGGTACATGTGTAGGATGAGCAGCGTTGTTACATAGGTAAACGTGTGCCATGGTGGTTTGTTGCACAGATCAACACGTCACCTAGGTATTGAGCCCAACATGCATTAGTTATTTTTCTTAATGTTCTCCCTCCCCACACCCCACCCCTTGGCAGGCCCCAGAGTGTGTCCTTCCCCTCCCTGTGTCCATGTGTTCTTATTGTTCAGCTCCTATTTATAAGTGAGAACATGCAGGACTTGGTTTCCTGTTCCTGCATTAGTTTGCTGAGAAGACATGGAATCAACCCAAACACCCATCAGTGATAGATTGGATAAAGAAAATATGGTACACATACACCATGGAATACTATGCAGCCATAAAAAGGAATGAGATCATGTCCTTTGCAGGGACATGGATGGAGCTGGAAGCCATTATCCCCAGCACTTTGATTTTGAACTTCCAGTTATTTAAGCCACTCAGTATTTGCTATTTTATTATAGCCCTTGCAAATTAGTATCTATCCAAACCTAATTCCTTGTCAATTCTCCCACATCCACCAAATGTTTTCACATGTCTATGGTGTTCCCTGTGGGATGTAGTGTTTTCCTATATCATGTCTTTTACTCATATTCATCTTTCCAGATCCATATTTAAGAGAATGTGTCCCAAACCAGTAATCCCAGCCCCCACATACTTCCCACCCCAGGCTGAAAATAATCTCATCCAAATCAGAACTCCAAAGGCCCCTTTTTAGTTACTCGGTGGATTATTTGTTAATAGAATTGCTCTTTATTGTATGCATTATCTCCTTGCTCTGTCAGGTCCTTGAATGTAAGAAGCATGAATCACTTTTTTAGCACTCCCCACCTCCCACCCCACCCAGCACATTGCCCAGACCATGAACCTACTCAAATGATAAATAACTAATTGATACTAATAACAAATGATAATAGCTGACATATAATAATAACTCACTTTATGTAGACACAGAATCATTCCATTGAATCATCACAGACACTTTTTGAAATAGGTGCTATTATTATTTCCATTTTACAGATTAGAAAACTGAATATCAGGGAGATTAAGTATTTGACTGTAAGTATGAGCATTAAGTACGTGGCAATGAAAATATACTTTCTCTGTTCCAACTCACTGCCTTGCTGTGAAAGCAGACTTTAAAACCTAGCCATCTAAAATCCCTGTCAGAATAGCAGGGTAACAATTAAAAAAAAAAATCCCCCAGAGAGTTGCCTTCAAATCATAGAATTACTTCTTCTCCCAAGGCAACAAGGACAGAGAATATGTTCTTTTGTCAAATGCCACTCTGTTACCTGTGGATAGCACACCCACCCAGGATGAAAGCAGCAGTCTTTTCCATCATTTTATTTCACTTCTCACAATGGACAGCTTCTCTTGAATTTGTGTGAAAGCTCCACATATAAGCCTATGTTTCCCATACCAAGAGATAAATAACAAGAGGTGCAGATAGCTATTATGTGGCATCTTCAATCCCAGGCTTGTCTAAAAACTACCTCACAGGAGTTGACTCTCCCACTAGGCTGGGTTTTCTCAAAAGAGTAAAGAATTCAGATATTTTAAAACAACTCTTACTTCTCAAAAGTAATCTAAGTGGCTTTTTGTAACCTTATTCTACAGGAGTTTCTTTCAAATGACATGATCTTATGATAACACTCGGAATTTTCCAACAAGGATTTAAAAAGAAATGGCAAAGACTGCTTGACCCTCACAAAGAGAATAAGTCAAATGTAGATTGTGTGCATATCGTGGCTGTTAATGAAAATTTCTTCCCATTAAATTTATAAAATGGTTCCATTATCTTTGGCATCTTTAAGTCTCTAAAAGACAGTTATGTATAAAAAGAGGATTTAGAGACAGAGCTTTTACAATAGACTTATCAGTAATTAGATAAAATGTATACATTACTATGTGTTTTATCTCATCATTCTAAAACTTATTTTTAAAAGCACATAAAGGAGGAATAGACTGGGTTCTCTTCAGTGTGGCCTGCAACCGTAGGAAAGTTCAGGAGAAAGCCACTTATCCATTCATTCAAATATTTAGTGAGTGTGTGCCTACTTGCAGCTAAGAATGGAAAAAAGAAAGCACAGTTCCTGTCCTGAAAGAGGTTTACACAAATGAAAAGGACAGACATAAAAGTGCAACATTGTGAATGTCTCTCATAATGGTTGACAATACTAGGGGAGCTGAGTGTTTCCACCTCTCATGTTCAATAGCTAAGATCTTCGTGAAGATGAATTGCTTTGGAACCAACCAAATTTGAGGTGAACATTTGACATGCTGCGGAGGTGGGGTGACCATAACCATCTTTTACAAGATGAAAATATGAACTCAGAAATATGACACACCCTCTCAAAATGGTAAGTAGCTTTCAACTAGTAACTTTTCCCCTGCCAGTTGGAATTTATAAAAATATTTTAAAATTGGATTGATTTTTTGTTATAAGCAATCCTTTCTCACTCTTGAGCCCCTGGAGAGAGAATATTAATATCATTTTTTTTAGATTTCAGGTTTTGAAATAGCTATTAGGAACCTGTATATCTGAGTTAATTTCAGGGTATGTTTTGATAGCTGCATCAAATAATAAAATCAATGGTTAGTTCATAAATTATGTCAGTTAATGAAATCAATCAATGATAAGCTTATTAACTTTCTCCCTTTGAATCTATTGTTTTCTCATATATAAAATTCTTAGTGTGCCCTTTGGTATTTAAGATGGTCAATTAACTGTCTTATCTTCCAGCTGAATCAGTTTATGAATAAAATATTTTTGAGCGTTTTTTAAAACCTGAATACAGTTCAAAGATTTTTTAGTTTAGTTTTATTGTTTGTTTTCTACAACTTATAGGCAATGCAACATAATATTTTGTCATTTTATCTACTTAAAATTTATTGGAATTGCTCCTTTTTTACACTTAAAGATAATGAATTCTAGGTTAATTTTTTTCCCCAAATTCCCAGAGCTAGTAAAGAAAAACTGGAGGTAGAATATTTTGACAAGGAAATAATAGTTGAACTGGAAAATGAGAATTTTAAAATAGAAAGGGAAAAATAAAATATTTTTGGCACAGAACATCCCTTTAAACAAGACCCTAAAATAGGAAATCTTAAAAGAATTATATTTTCAAGAAATTCCTATAAAACTATTATTTCAAAATGTTGATTGGAAAGAGGGTCATCAAATGTATACTAACAGAACGTCACTTAGATTAGAATTGTGGCAATGACTGGAAGTGATATTAGGGCACAGCAGGAAAAGAAAGGGAGGTATTTCGTATTTTTATTGAACATCACCATATATCCTGGTTTGTCCTACACAGTTCTGGCTTATGCCTTTTGTCCAGATGTAATTATTAATAGCACCTGCTATGGTTTGAAGGTGTCCCTATCAAAGTGTTGGAAACTTAATCCCCAATGCAACAGTGTTGAGAGGTAAGACCTTTTAAGAGGAGATTAGGTCACGAGGGTTCTGTGCTCATGAATGAATCAATGCCATTATCAAGAGAGTAGGTTTGTTACCACTGGAGCAGTGTCCTTATAAGGATGAATTCAGCAACCTTCCCTCTCTTGCATGTGTATACTCTCTTGCCCTTTCACCTTGTTCCATGGGATAGTACAGCAAGAAGGCTCTTGCCAGACACAAGCCCCTAGACCTTGGACTTCCTGGCATCTAGAACTGTAAGAATCTCTATTCTTTATAAATTACCCAGTCTCGGGTATTCTGTTATAGCAGCACAAAAGGGATGAGGATAGCACCCCTTTCGTTTCAAAAGCACTCCTGTTTAAATGATAGTTATATAGTCATCTTAATTAACATACTTAATAGAACATACGATAATGTTCACTATCCTGGAATCTGATGCGGATCTCACCAAACCACCATCTTTGTCTCTGACTTAGGAACTGATGTAGTTTGGTGTCAAAGACATCATTGCTTCATATGAATATTTAGAAGCTTGATGTGTAATAATGGCTGCAAAACAACAAAATGACATGGAAAATTTTCAAAAGAATGAGTTAAATAATTTCCACTGAACATGACTTGGACAGCTCCCTTCATCAGCTAGAACGAAAGGAAGATGTGGAATAATGTACAAACTTGACCCCTTTAGGTAAGCAAATCTTTAAAAGCTACATATGTAGTGGGAATTATATTTTTGAAAGTAATTTGAGGAATTTTTATTTTTTATTTTTTACTTTGCTTATATGTTTGTGTGTGTGTGTATATGTGTGTGCGTGTATATGTGTGTGCATGTATATGGGTGTGTGTATTTTTATATAGAGTGACATATAAAGAGAGAGCAAGAGTTAAAATTTAAGGGTAAAAAATTCTGAATGGAAAGATCATGTGTTTCTTTTATTTTCTGCATATACATTATTGCTCTTTAAGAAAATAACCATGGAATATTTCAGAAATTTTGTTTTCTTCTCTTAGATTGATGTACAAGAAATAAGGCATCGCTTTCTAAACTTTCTCTCCCAAACATCCACCCTTGTACTCTCAGACTTCAAAACTACACTCAAGGGACCTAGATGTAACCAATTCTTGATTTGCCTGATAGCACAACGATGTAACATCATCTTCTTACTACAAAAATGGTGAGAAGAGTTTAATGAGCATATCTGGAAACTAATGCATACTACACAGCCCTATTTAAATATAAGATACTTTTATTTTGGTCAAAATGTCATTGGTCATTTAAAACTGTCAAATCTATTCCATTTTAATTTAATCTTTGTTGTTTTTCAGAAGAAGTGAACCTTTCGGAGCTAATCATCTTGGTGGTATAATTAGGGAACAGTGAGAAAAAGCTCAGAATAAGAATTTCAAATCATCTAGAGCTGCTTTTACAAACTTCATACACTCTCTTAAACTGTGTAATTTCAAACAAACTTATTCTTTTTGAATCTCAGTTTCTCATCTATAAATTGGGTCCTGCCCACTTTCTTCCTGGACTATATTCTACATTTTTTTCTATTCTCTCTCCTGGCTTGCCCTAATAAATCAAGTCTGTCTAGATTCTGCACCAGAAGCAATTTATATTGAAATCTTTTATTGCAGGAGAGCTCCTGATATTAACCAATTCACTTCCTAGATCTGGTATGCAATGAGCATGGCAACTGTGGTGTATGGAAAACATGGCTTTAACATATGTCTTTACCATTGGCTTTGAAATAAGTTACAATGTTCCAGTGATCTGCCTTTATTTCAAAGTTTCTTATTTTGGGAGGTATGGAGGGGCTTCAAAACATCTGTGAACCTTTTGAAAGTGTTCTGAAAATTCTGTGGTCTGTGTTGAAAACATATGTTTCAGTACTTGAGAACTACTCTTTCAAATGAACATGAACCATGAAAACTGCTTACACAACTGGGGATTTAGACAAGATTTTGAATATTGTCCAACCTGAATATAGATAGGATCTGATTTCTTTTCAAAGATGAAAGAGGAATAAGGCTATCCAAATAAATACAGCATGCTGTAGACGGAGAACAGACTTGCAGATTGAACAGCAAGGACTGCCCTGTGTGCCTCAAACCTCCTGATTCCCACTTTACAAAGAAGAAAAATAGCACATTTCCACTCAGTCCTTTTCACAGATATTTTCTCCTTTGCTAGGAATGCATAAATGAGTCAGTTAATGAAAATGGAAAATATAGCCTTCCCGCTTTCTAACACAATTCATGAAATCAGCAAGTTGACTTAAGAAATGGAACGTGTGTGACAATGATTAAAGGTGCTGTGTCAGACAGGTTCATAAAAGGATTTTTGTATCTGGAGAAAAAAAAATACATTTCCTTCCTTGAAGCAGAGGGGCAAGAAGTACTTTTGTTTTAAAATATATCATGACATCTTTCTTGCTAGCTTCAGCACAGGACTTGTCACTTATAATCTTTATTTTAGGCTAATTAAACTATCAGTCTTCTTTTGTTACTCTAAACAGAACACAGTCATTATATTTTTTCTGGTCAGTTCTTAATGGGAAGAACATAAGGTCATTTGTCTTTTCCAGAATCCCCTCAGCTATATCTAAACTATATAAATGTTTTCTATAAATGTCTGAAGATTTTTAATTCAAACCTACATTTAGCAAAATGCATAGCACCCTGTTTGACAGCAATTGGGACACACACCATGACAAGCTCTACAAAGAATATTGAGAGTCTTGCCATGAAAAGAGCAAGTGGCATCTTGCTGTGTCTAACCCTTGGAAATTGAGATTTAATATTGTTTGACATTCGAGCATTGAAACTCAACTGAGGCTTGTAAAAGTTGTTCTCATTTAATTCTTGGTTTTGCTTTAGAGTAGAAAATGTTTGAAATAAATTTAACCCAACCCTATGTAGGTCCAAAGTTTTATTACTATATGAATTTGCCAACTACATTGCTTAGGGTTCTCCTGACAAACAATTTCCAGGTCCTCTTTTTTTCATTTTTAGTCTGGAAGAAATGTGAATGTCTTAATCTCAAAGAATTTTATTTTGCAAATCACCAGGAAGTCCGTACCTTTTTTTCCCTATACGTCTTCGAGAGCACTATGTTAGGGACCCACATGGTAAAGAAGATAAAATGAGTAATAGTCATAGGAACTCAAGCATTTGTTACATAATGTTCAGAAAATTTAGCCTTTCTCTTTCTTGCTGTCTTCTTATTCTCTCTCTTTCACACACACACACACACACACACACACACACAAGAAAATACATATAAATGTAAACTATCACTCTATATACAACCTTTACTCTCATTCCACAAAGCAGAAGTACTATGATATATATATACATAGAGAGAGAGATAGTTATATAGATATAAATATAGATATAGATATAGATATAGATGTATCTCCAACACAGGGCTTGTATCCAAAATATAAAATAAGCCCTTACTAATTAATACCCAAAAAGCCAGACATCCCAAATGAAAAATGGACCAAAATTTTAATACATGCTTCACAAAAGCATTACCAATATACATATGAAAAGCTGTTTGATCTCAATTTGTCATGAGGAAATGTAAATTAAAATCATAATGAAATACTACTTTACACCCATTATGATGGCTAACATTTAAAAAAAGATGAAAAAGATGAAATATTGGTAAGGATGTAGAGCAATCAGAACTTTTATACTACTGGTGGCAACATAAATTTGGAAAAATATTTGGCAGTAACTACTGTGTTGAATATATACATATCTTATGACCCAGTAATTCTACTTCTAAATACAAACTCAACAAAAATGTGCAAATATGTTCATCAAAATACATGTATTAGAATATACAGAAGAGTACTGCAAAAACTGGAAAAACCCAAATGTTCATTGCTGGAAGCACTAATAAATAAACTGTAGTCTATTTGCATGATTAAATAAAACATGAAGAACAACCATATGCAAAAAAAAGAAGGATCATGGTACCACTTATATAAAGTACAAAAACAAGCAATGCTAATCTATACTGATTGAAGTTGAGAAGTCAGGATAGTGGTTATCCTGGGATCAGGGCAAAGAATTCATGATTGTAAGGGATCATGGGTAGGTGGAGGGGAGAAGAGAGTGCTGATAGGGTTCTGGTAACATTCTATTTTTTTAATCTTGGGGTCAAATACATAGATGTGTTTAGTTTGTGCAACTTCAGTTAACTGTATGTTTATAATACATACATTTTTGTATGTATATTATACTAACTCTGTGCTTAAGGTTTCTAAGTTAAAAAATAATCATTCTTTCTTGGCTTGGCTTAGATAAATATTCAAATACTAATTTAGATGTTTGGCTGGGAATTTATTTCTACTTTATGAAGTTAAAATCAAAGTCCTTATACCAAAGAATTTTGCAATCAAGGGAAGAAGCCTAGCCAAACACTTGTTCCCTTATTCTAAATAATTTTAGGCAGGCTCTCATGGTTCTACTAACACTAATATTAATAACAATTTAGTTTATGGCAAAATTTACAGTATGCCTTCTTTATTATAGTCAATTAGGTCCAATGGTCAGGACATGCTGGCATCTGAACTATTGGAAATGTTGCAAACTTTATAAAAGTGGGACTTTTGGCATCAGAACACAAAACTTATTTTAATCCTACTGGATAGGGAAAAGTTTAAAGCATTCTCCCCGAGAACTAGAACACGAAAAGGATGCTCACTTTCACCACTTCTATTCAACATAGTACTGGGAGTCCTAGCCAGAGCAGTCAGGCAAGAAAAAGAAATAAAGGGCATCCAAATTGGAAAAGAGAAAGTCAAACTTTTGCTCTTCACTGATAATATGATCGTATACCTTGAAAACCCTCATTCACAAGGCTCCTAGATTTAATAAACAAATTCAGTAAAGTGCCAGGTGACAAAAATCAATGTACAAAAATCAGCAGCATGGCTATAGGCCAACAACAACCAAGATGAGAATTAAATCAACAACTCAATCCCTTTTATAACAGCTGCAAAAAAGAAGAAGAAGCCTAGAAATATACTTAACCAAGGAGGTAAAAAAAAAAAATTCTTCAAAGAAAACTACAAAACATTGCTGAAAGAAATCACGGATGACACAAATAAATGGAAACACATCCCATACTCATGGATGGGAAGAATCAATATTTTAAAAATGACCATACTGCCCAAAGCAATCTACAGATTCAATGCAATTCCCATTAAAATACCATCATTATGTTTCACAGAACTAGAGAAAACAATCCCAAAATTCATACAGAACCAAAAAAGAGCCTGCATAGCCAAAGCAAGACTAAGCAAAAAGAACACATCTGGAGGCATCACATTACCAGATTTCAAATCATACTACAAGGCTGTAGTTACCAAAACAGTATGGTACTAGTATAAAAATAAACACTTAGACCAATGGAATGCAATAGAGAATCCAGAAATAAAGCCAAATACTTACAGCCAACTGATCTTCAACAAAGCATACAAAAAAACATAAATTGGGGAAAGGACACCCTATTCAATAAATGGTGCTGGGAAAACTGGCAAGCCACATGTAGAAGAATGGAACTGGATCCCCATCTCTCACCATATACGGAAATCAACTCAAGATGGATCAAAAACTGAAATCTAAGACCTGAAACCATACAGATTCTGAAGATAACATTGGAAAAACTTCTGGAAATTGGCTTAGGCAAAAAAATTCATAACTAAGACCCCCAAAGCAAATGCAACAAAAACAAAAATAAATAAATGAAACCTAATTGAACTAAAAAGTTTCTGCACAGCAAAAGGAATCAGCAGAGTCAGCAGACAACCCACAAAATGGGAAAAAAAATATTCACAAACTATGAATCTAGCAAAGGACTAGTATCCAGAATCCACAAGGAATTCAAACAAATCAGCAAGAAAAAAACAAATAATCCTATCAAAAAGTGGGCAAAGAACATGAATAGACATTTCTCAAAAGAAAATATATAAACATATGAAAAAATGTTCAAGATCACTAATCGTCAGGAAAAAGCAAATTAAAACCACAATGAGATACCACCTTATTCCTGCAAGAATGGGCATTATTAAAAAGTCAAAAAACCATAGATGTTGGCATGGATGTGGTGAAAAGGAAACACTTTTATTCTGTTGGTGGGAACGTAAATTAGTACAACCACTATGGAAAACAGTATGGCAATTTCTTAAAGAACTAAAAGTAGATCCACCACTCAATCCAGCAATCCCACAACTGAGTATTTACCTAAATGAAAAGACGTCATTGTATGAAAAAGACATATGCACATGTGTGTTTACAGCAGCATAATTCACAATTGCAAGGATATGGAACCCATCTAAGTGCCCATTGACCAACGAGTAGATTTAAAAAAAAAATGTGGTACATAAACACCATGGAATACTACTTGGCCATAAAAAGGAATGAAATAATATATGTTGAAGCAACTTGGATGGAGCTAGAGGCCATTATTCTAAGTTATAATGGTTAAAATTAAATGTCAACATGTCAACTTGATTGGATTGAAGGATGTAAAGTATTGTTTCTGGGTTTGTCTGTGAGGGTGTTGCCAGAGGAGATTAACACTTGAATCAGTGGACTATGAGAAGAAGACCCACCCTCAATCTGGGAAGGCACCATTCAACTGGCTGCCAGCAGGGCTAGTAAAAGCAGGTGGAAGAGGGTGGAATAAGCTGACTTGCTGAGTCTTCCAGCTTTCATCTTTCTCCAGTGCCGGATGCTTCCTGCTTTTGAACATCAGACTCCAGGTTCTTCGGCCTTTGGACTCTTCAGTGGTTGCTAGGGGTTCTCAGGCCTTCAGCCACGGACAGATGGCTGCACTGTCAGCTTCCCTACTTTTGAGGTTTTGGGACTCAGACTAAGCCACTGCTGACTTCCTTGCTCCTCAGCTTGCAGACAGCCTATCATGGGACTTCACCATGTGATCATGTGAGTAAATTCTCCTTAATAAACTCCCTTTCATATGTACATGCATCCTATTAGTTTTGTCCCTCTGGAGAGCCCTGACTAATGCGTAAGTGAAGTAACTCGGGAATGGAAATAAAGTATCTTCTCACTTATAAGTGGGAGCTAAGCTATGAGGATGCTAAAACTTACAATGATATAGTGGAATTTGGGGACTTGGGAGGGGAGGCTGGAAGGTGGATGAGAAATGAAAGACAACATATTGGGTACAGTGTACACTGCTCGGGTGATGGGTGCACTAAAATCTCAGAATTGGAAAAGGTGGAGCAAGGGTAAAAAATAAATTAATAATAATATAATAATAATAATAAAATCTCAGAATTCACCACTAAAAAACTCATCCATGTAACCAAAAACCACCTATAACCCAAAAACTATTGAAATAAACAAATAATTTTTGAAACAAAAGAACCATTTTAATTTCTGGCTCTGCCAGTAGCTCACATTAGGATACCATGCAAAATTACTCAATCCCTCTGAGCTTCAGTATTCCCATCTGTAAAATGAGAATAATAATCCACCTACATGGTATGTGAAGGTTAGATGAGATAAATTATGGAATAGGCTGAGCCCAGGACATGGCTCTTACTTAAGCACTCAAAAAGCGTAGATGGTTTTAGTTATTAAATATATATTATGTATATTCCATTACAATTATTATGTATTATTATAATTCCTCTTGAACCTGAGTTTCAACCATCTTTCAAAATGGGGAAAATAGTAATCACACATACATGCACACACATGCAAACAATGTATGCACTCATTTATTATTCAACAAATTTTATTGAACATCTACTATGTTTGAGCACTGTTCTGCATTCTACAGATAGAGCTGTAAATCAAACAGTTGTAATTCTGTTAACATGCAGCAGCATTAAATCTGATTATGTATGCATTAAGTTGTGCATAAAATTGTGATAAAATCTCATTGTATATGCATAAAAATGTATGCAGCATAGTATGAAGCATACTTTAAGTAACAAAAGCAACCACTGAGAAAACACTAGACTGAATACTAGAACAGCCTATTTCAACAATCAGAACTACATTTACAAACATTCAAACCCCTCAGTGGACCTAGGATTCAGTATGACCCTGAAATGGTATTTGTATGTAAGGATTAAAGTCTGTTAGTTGTACTGTTTTATAAATACACATAAACACATATATAAATACATATACATATACATGTAAAAGTTCTGTAATATATGCTCTATAACACATATATGTTCATATATGTATATGCATATACAGAGATATAATTTGCTGCTATATACATATATATTGTATAGATGCACTATTTGCACAGTACCTGGAACATGGAGGACATTTGTTAAATATTTTTTAAGCAAATGTAACATATTTTTGCTGCAAAAACAATCTGATGATACCTTAATTAATATCCAGTATGCATCAGCACCTTCCTTTGTGAGAAAATCAATTCAATCTTAATAACTTCTGAGGTAGCTTCCAAACTTGGCATCAGGTTTTAAGATGCTTTCCAACTGAGAAGTAAGTTTAAATGTATAAATGTTGGTTGAAGAGTCTGATATTTTCACACAACAAAGTTATTTGCATTGTAACTCTATCTTGCCTGGATAAGTTCCACTAAGTTGAAGATAGGTGTAGGGGGGAAAAGAGCCCTTTCCTAAGATTTTGCTGAGATGTGAAATGCAGAATAAGCCATGACACTCAATTGAAGAATTAACCAAGGCACAATTTAGCATGCACCTATTCTATTTTTACATTATCCTTTACTGACAAAACAATGTACAGATATTGAAAAGCTTTTTGAATGTTTTACAACAGATTTTTTTTCAAATGCTTACAATTCCATCTAAATTCTGATAATCTGTTGTAGGCTTCAAAACAACACATCCAGTATCATGTCCCTACACTAATAACAAGCAGAGCATATTAACCACATCACAAAACTGTAATGAAAAAAGATTATGATCACTTTCAGTCAGCACAAATATTTTAAATAATGCATAGCAAAGATGTTATATGAAATCCATTATTCATGGCTTTTCTCATACATATATTTGAAAATGGAATGGTACTTGGTTGCCCTGGGTATTTTTGTCACAGTATGTAACGTAGTTCATAACTTTCTACTCTGCCACATTTTTGCCTTAAAAGAATTCTCTAACTGGATCGTTAGTCATTTAGACATTACCTTTTGCCTACCTGGCAGATGATATGCTCCCTTTAACCATTTTTCTTCCCCATTTCAGCTGTTCGACTGCCTTTGGCTCTCTCCTTTGCATGCATACACATTCTTTCACTTACAGGCTGATTTTCTGTTGAACATAGGGTATATGCTCTTACTGTATAAGACTTGTGATTAGTCAGTCAAGGATTGTTCAAAAACAATTTTATGGTGTGCTATATATTTAATGGGGAAAAACAATTTTTGAAATCTCTAATTAATAATAATAATGAAAAAGTGTGACTGGTGCCAAAATTTCAACTTGATTCCCTGACTTGAGGTATTTTTCTTTTCATATACATAGATAGTAAATATATATATATATATAATATACATAAGTATATATTTGATAACATGAGAATATCTGGATAAATTCTAAGGCAACATCGCTCCCATGGTAGTCATTCATTTAGGATCAAACTCATTACTTAATGTCACAATTTCCATATAAATGCTCTCAGATTGTACTTAAAAGGAAAAGTAAATGTAGAGTAAATTAAAATTTCAATGGATAAGTTCAAAGCAAAAAAACTCATTTTAAATGGTTTTAAATGGTCAAAATGATGTAGCGATTGATTGAATTAATTTATTAAAGTTCTTTTAAAATTTTTTTCACAAGGAACTCTGCTGAGTGCCACTGAGAATTAAAAGATGAACAGGATATGGAATAATCTTTGGAGGGAGACATGTACACAGGTTGTGGAAATAAAATATAATGTGATAATGCAATAATGGACATAATTTTTTATGTCAAAAGGCAGAGATTAAGGATAACAGAGCGACCTTCATGAGGGAGGCTGGCTTTTATGCTGGGTTTCTAAGGATGAATGGAATGTCACTAATGGAGACGAGAGAGAATGCACTGAGGCAAAAAAATAAAAAATAAAAAAGACAGAATGAGCAAATACGTGGTAGTGAATACCACGGAGGGATCTACTGGACCTATGTAAATAAGACTACAGTTTGCTGTAGGTAAGAGTAGAAAATAAGGCTGCAAGTGTGGATAGGGACAGAGAATGGAAGACCTTAAATTCCAAGCTGTAGGTTTTAGCCATTACTAATAAACCATGTAGAGACATTGAAGGTTTTAAAACCAGGAAGCAACATGCTTAAAATGGTATTTTGATGGATACATTCAGGGAAAAGACAAGTTAGGGGGAAACATCCAAGTTCTAGGTCACACATTGTCTGAATAAGGCAAGTGGCAATTGGGATAAAAAGAAGAGAGGTGTACAATTATTAGGAGTAAAATATATTGCCACAGTATCCTAAGTAAAAAGTCGTGGCCACTGATTTGTTATGCACTTTTTTAGAAGTAGATTCAGCCACACTGATTACCCAAGTCATGCAGGCAACTGCATCCACTGTTTTCTCGTTCTTTCAAAGTTACTCACAGAAAAGTCCAAGAATACCTACTTTAAATTCTGTACTTCTTTAGTGTTACTTTTCAGTACATTGAAAACATACTCCTAGAGAAGGCTCAACATGTGAGACTTAACCAGCTGCCTGCTGACTGATCCCTCTGGAGGCCCTTTATATGAATCCCTTGATTTCAAGACTGGTCTATAAAAAAGAACTAAGGTATTTGGGGAGCTACACTGACAAATGTATGTATACAGACATAATAGAGATCACTTAGAATCTAGAGAGGTTAAGTTTGAGTTATTTTCCAGATAGTGGCCTTTCAGGTATGAGTATGCATTGGAAATTCTAAGAGATATGGGGCTTGATTATATGCCATGGAAAATGTCATCCGCCTATTCCCCACTGTCAGCCCCGCAAATAAAGAGAGGCCCACTGATTACAAAGCAGCAGGTCTGTAAGGAACTTTTGACTTTTA
The DNA here is from genome assembly GCF_000001405.40 of Homo sapiens. Classification (NCBI taxonomy): domain Eukaryota; kingdom Metazoa; phylum Chordata; class Mammalia; order Primates; family Hominidae; genus Homo; species Homo sapiens. The sequence continues at coordinate 59,416,315 of NC_000016.10, read as the reverse complement.
GGCCATATAACCCCTTCTTTTGGGATTCAAATCCTGAAATTTAGAAATGTGAAGTGATTTACAAAACTGTCCACAGCTACTTAGTGGCAGAGCTGGGAGCAGAATCCAGTACCCTTGATCCCATTCCAAATTACTTCAATGGAACACACTGGCATTTATTTTTCTATGGACTTTTTGTATCAGATATATTGACACAAAACTTAGGTTTACTCATGATTTTTTTTGTCTTTGGTATACTCTGGAATCTGACCTCCAAATGGAGAAATCTATATTCTACTCCAAAGATAGTATACTCATTTTGATGACTTCCTTAGAAAGTGTGTTTCTATGGTGCTGAGTTTGATGATGCCAGGACTCAATGATTTCACTGAAATATTCTTCCCTCTAAATTAGTGTTTTAAAGTTTGGTCACAATTTGCCATTCTGAGGAATCCTTTTGATACTTGGATTGATAAATCATATTGCATTCATTTTGGAGCTAAATGAAAAAACAATGCAAACATTTGAGCAAATACAAAAGGAGTTCTTCTTTTGAAAAAGTAGCACTAAATATCATTTCCAAGTGCTTTGAAACAGGAATAAATTTCACAACCATAGGTATTCCACAGAACCATGACCAATAAAAAGAGCATAATGAAAAAGTAATGCTTACAAAGATTTTTCTCCTGATGCAAAAGTCAAAACTTAATTTTGCCAAATGGTTGTATAGTTGCTACTTTAGATCACTAGAAAATAATGAATAGGCCTTTGCTTTTTTTTTTTTTTTTTTTTACAATTCGCTTTAGTTTTCATGACAGCCCTTTTAGCATTTTCCCTCATATAACCAGTTTTATGTTAGGCTTCCAGTGGAGAAATGGGACTGCCCACAAACTCATTACTGAGGAATAGCTATCCTTTATCTGGAAAAGTCTTTATCTTTCACCCAGTTTATATGTATTTTGGAGTGGAGTGGAAATGCTCAAGGATCTTGATAAGGAATTATTATTCAACAAACCCGAAGATTGTGCAAATAAATCCTAAAGATCAACGCAATGACAGATGCAAGATTTTCAGTATTTTATACAAATGATCTGCGAATGGATTAATAAATCTCAATAGAATATCAGAGTTTTGCTTTTTGTAAGATCCTAAATGATTTGAGTCTGGATAGAACATCAAATCAGCCAGAGCATTCCCTTAAACCTTAAACTAAAGCCTGATCCAGAGTAAGGCTCTAACTTTCTTCAGTTTTACAAAGGCTGGGAGAGGTTAGGAAACTTCAGAGAAAAAGTTTAAAGTTAGCAGAGGTTGGTTCAGAGGTTTAAGGAAAGAAGTTGTGTCCATAACATAAAAGTGCAAGATGAAGCAACAAGTGCTAATGTAGAAGCTGTGGCAAGTTAACCAGAAAACATAGCTAAGATAATTGATGAAAGTGGTTACACGAAACAAAAAGTTTTCAATGTAGATGAAACAGCTTTATATTAAAAGAAAATTTCATCTAAAGACTTTCGTAGCTAGAGAGAAGTCAATGCCTGGCTTCAAAGCTTCAAAGGACAGGCTGACTCTCTTGTAATGGGGTAATGCACCTGATGACTTTAAGTTGAAGCCAATGCTCATATACCATTCCAAAAATCATAGATCCCTTAAGAATTATGCTAATTCTAATCCAACTGTGCTCTTGACATAAAACAAAAATCCTAGGTGACAGCATATCTGTTTACAACATGGTTTACCAAATATTGTAAACCCACTGTTTAGACCTTGTTTAGGCTTACCGTTAAGAAAAAAAAAAAATCCTTTCAAAATATTACAGCTCATTGACAATGTACCTGATCACCCAAGAGCTCTGATGGAGATGTACAAAAATGTTAATGTTCTTTTCATGCCTGCTAACACAACATCCATTCAGTAGCCCATAAATCAAGAAATAATTTCAACTTTCAAGTCTTATTACTTAGGAAATACATTTCATAGGATGATAGCTCCCAAAGATCATGATTCTTCTGATGGATCTGGGCAAAGTACATTGAAAACCTTCTGGAAAGGATTCACCCTTCTAGATGCCATTAAGAACTTGTACCTCATGAGAAGAGGTCAAAATATCAATATTAATGGGAATTTGGAAGAGGTTGATTCCAATCCTCATGGATGGCTTTGAGGGGTTCAAAACTTCAGTAGGGGAAATAATTACAGATGTGGTGGAAATATCAAGAGAACTGGAATTAAAAGTGGAGCCTGAAGATGTGACTGAACTGCTGCAATCTCATGATTAAACTTGAAAGGTTGAGGAGTTGCTTCTCATGATGAATTTAAAAAGTTGTTTCTTGAGGTGGAATCTACTACTGGTGAAGATGCTGTGAACGTCATGGAAATGACAATGAAAGATTTAGAATATTACATAAACTTAGTTGAGAAAGTAGTGGCAGGGTTTGAGAGAAATGACTCCAATTTTGAAGGAATTTCTACCATGGGTAAAAATGCTGTCAAACAGCATGGGATGCTATAGAGAAATCTTTCATGAAAGGAAAACTTAAAGCAGCAAACTTTATTGTTGTCTTAAGAAATTGCCACAGCCACATCAGCCCTCAGCAACCACTGTCCTGATCAGTCAACAACCATCAGCCACCACCTTGATCAGTCAACAGCCATCAATATCAAGGCAAGACTCTCCACTACCAAAAGATTATGACTCACTGAAGCTCAGATAATCATTAGCATTTTTAGCAATAAAATATTTGTTGATTATGGTACCTACATTGTTTTTATTGACATAATGCTATTGCATACTTTACAGGCTACAGTATAGTGCAAACATAACTTTTATATGCACTGGAAACCAAAAAGTTTGTGACTCACTTTATTGCAGTGACCTGGCACCCAAACTCCAAGATATGCCTGTAATTCCTCTGTACTTACACTCACTAATTTACCTATTTTCTATAAGAAATATCAATAGTTGTGTTAATTTAGAAATTGGGAAGAAATTTCTAACTATGAAAGTAGTCTCGGCTGGGTGCGGTGGCTCATGCCTATAATCCCAGCACTTTGGGAGGCCGAGGTGGGCAGATCACTTGAGACCAGGAGTTCAAGACCAGCCTGGCCAACATGGCGAAACCCTGTCTCTACTGAAAATACAAAAATTAGCCTGGCATGGTGGCACGTGTCTGTAATCCCAGCTACCTGATACTCAGGAGGCTTGAACCCTGGAGGCAGAAGTTGCAGTGAGCCGAGATCATGCCACTGCACTCCAGTCTGGGCAACAGAGCAAGACTCCATCTCGAAAAAAGAATGTAGACCCCAGGATTTCCTATCAGTACAGAGTAATTTATATTTCAGGAAAAAAGGAGCAGGTAATAATATTTTAAAAATCAGTTCAATTTCAACTTTAATTCTACCTGTATTCTCATACTTACTGAATTGTTAGTCATCTTAAACTGAAAAAAGTTTTGCTGTCAAGCCAAATAAATTTTAGCTTTATTTGAGATAAGAAGTTTGTAAGGTTTGCCCAATAAAGAGTTAAATATTTGTGGCAGATCTCTTCTTCTGAGATCCCTTTTGTGTAAAGATTTAAAGGTTCTCTGAGTTAGAGTAATAGCCTCTGATTTCCTCTCCATCTCTTTTACTGTTTCCCTTTCAAATCTTTGATGCAAGCAAAATAAAAGAAAATGACAGGCTTTCAAGCTTTTGTCTTACGACTTATACGCACAAGTTCTACATTTCAACATTTTTAAATGATCTTATGTATCTTAGTGCCATGAAATTTCAAACCTGAGTCTCTGTCTTTCAGAAGGTAAGGTCAGTCTTTCTTTTGCTCATCATTTTCCTTTATGTCATTTTTAACCACATTGATACCTGGTTACGGTGTGCTCTTTCAATCTCTTTACTCTAGCTCCTTCCAGTGGTAAATCACAGATGTGCTGCAGACAGCAGAGATCTGGGATTCTTTTGATGTGACAGGAGTGCAATGGTGAGTAAAGATTTTCCCTGTACTTTACCAGTTTCTCTTGCTTCCAATTTAAAATTGAAGGTGAGGTTCTAATGGAGCCTGGATCCATTAGTTTATTCAAAATCGTAAGGCACTTTGTTCACTTGGTATAGCACTTTCTCAGGCTGTATAAAGTGGAGCAGTTTCTGAGATGCATGGATAAAAATCTCCAAACCCTGGCAGAAATCCAGCAGTGCAATTCCATAAAGTACATGATATACACATTTGCGCAAGCTGAAGCTTCCTTTGGGCTCTAGGGAAAATAGTGCTTCTAATAATGGCAGCAGGTGTTTTTACTAATGATCTTTTAATGGCATTTTTGATAGTTTTAATTAAACCCCAAATATTTTTGTTGGAAAAAATAAAGGACAAATGGTTTCTAAGGCAAAATAAATAGTGTTTTTAAGAATGCATTTAAAAAGAAAAATTAGAAAGAAAAGGAAACTGCATGTTGTCTCATTAAGGAAAGCAAGTAATGCCTTAATAAAGTCCAACTGGAAGTATAATAATTGAAAGGTACACAGTTAAACCATTGTTATAAAAGTTGATAAAGGTTGCAGTTGGAAAATAGTTTTATGGATTTATTTAAAAATCAATATCATATTCTGTCTCTAAACCAATAAGGAACACAGTATTTATATTACACCAAAATATTTTAAATATATGTAAATATAGGAACAACATTATGGTCTGCTATTAATTATGAAGAGGATCAAAATCTTAGTCAAATCTGACTGCATCCCTAAGAGATGACAGCGAGTTCAAGGGAGCTTTGGATGAGCAATGAGCTTCAACCAGCATGCTTTTTGCTTGGCAAGTTAAACTAATCCAGTTCAAGACTAGAGGCATGTTGGCTTAGAATTATGGATGAAAGCAGGTAATTTATTATTTTCTATATTTTACTTATGATGTCAAAAAGTCTCACCCAACAAGACCTATTTTGGAGTGACAAACAGTAGGATATTCAAAATCTCTGCAGTCCAACACAATGATAGAAAAAAATATCTCAAGACAAAGGACAGGTTCTTGCTTAATATCACCAGTCTCTGCAGAAAATGTGTTCTTCACCTTCTCCTGTGTGTGGTTTCAGTGCTTATTGGAGACGAACTGGTAGTAGAAGCCTTGTTCATTCATCATTTATGAAAGACTTTCCAGTAAAATTAAATTTGGACTAGGACATTACCATGGCCAGCTTGCACAGTTCTAATAATCTGTAGCTTCTGCCTTTCTTTATGCTGTTTCAGAGCCAACCTTCAAAAGCATTATTGTCACAGTAGAAATACTTCTTAGCCACCAAAATGGGCAACACTTCTAAAATTTATTAAAAACTATAAATGAGGTCGAGTATCACGTATAGGGAAAACTG